>NC_000003.12:165675270-165826786 GCF_000001405.40 Homo sapiens
GTCTCAGATGGAAATGAGGAACTTGTTGGGAACTGGAGCAAAGGTGATTCTTGTTATGTTTTGGCAAAGAGATTGTCAGCATTTTGCCTATACCCTAGAGATCTGTGGAATTTTGAACTTGAGAGAGATGATTTAGGGTATCTGGCAGAAGAAATATCTAAGCAGCAAAACATTCAAGAGGTGACTTGGGTGCTGTTAAAGGCATTCAGTTTTATAAGGAAAGCAGTGCATAAAAGTTTGGAAAATTTGCAGCCTGACAATGCAATAGAATAGAAAATTCCATTTTCTGAAGAGAAATTCAAACCAGCTGTAGAAATTTGCATAAGCAATGAGGAGCCAAATGTTAATCCCCAAGATAGTGGGGAAAATGGGGTTTATTTCTCATTTGTACTTACACTGAGACTGTAACCCTTCAAGGTTCCAAATTTATGCAAGTTCTCAGCTTTATGTTGGTTTTTTTTATTAGATTTCTGATATCGAGAAGACTTAGGCTGTAGATCCTGTTCTCAATATCCTGTGCAGTCCTCAAATTAGATACTTAATTTTGACAGAAACTTGGCTTTGATGCTGTAGATTTTGACAGAAACATGTCTTTGGCTCCTAAATGTCTTCTAAGATTCCTATAGTCACTGTGTTTCTGGGATCCATGGATTCATTATTATAAATGTTCAGCAATTAACTTAAAAATTAAACACACATGTATCTCTTTCTTTATGTATTTGTATATTCCAATTATTTCAGATATTTTGATAAGCTAAGTATAGTTGAGTAGACAATGCTAAATTTATCTAATGCTATATTCCATCCATTATATAAGTATCATATCTGAATTATTCAAGCATTCTCAAAATGATTTCTATAGATCAATGTTTTCCTATTTTGTCAAGTAAGATGGTCTTCATCAGACTTTTCAAATACTAATTCCGATATCACCTATTATAATCCACTGACTTATTGATTTGTTGACTACCTCTTTAAAAGTAATACTAGATTTTCAAAATACTATAAAATTGAAAGTATTGATTTTAATTCTGCCAATAGTCTAATAATAAATATAAATTATTAACATACATGAAGTTCTTACATAATGCTATTAAAAAATAAAACATAGATCAGGCATGGTGATTCACAGCTGTAATCCCAGAACTTTGGGAGGCCGAGGGGGTGGATCATGAGGTCAGGAGTTTGAGACCACCCTGGACTATTGTGGGATCTGGCCAGCAGCCTGTAATGCAACGTGGCTCTCTCTTTGTTCCCAGGTGGATGGGCAGGTCGAGAAATAATAGACACACACAAGATAGTGAAAGCTGGGTCCAAAGGGGTAACTGCCTTCTGTTCTTGTGACGCTGCCAATGCACTGGATATACCAACATTTATTATTAAGTTTAGTGACAGCGGGGGTAGGTTAGTGAGGGATTTAGGGTCATTTGATTATGAGGTGAGATGGTCACATGGGGATGAAGTAATTCTTTAACATAACATCTCTATGCAGAAGTACAGTATACAGAGATAAGAATTTACAGTATAGTGTGTGCATCAGTAATTTCTAACAGAGCCTTAAAACAGAAACACAGTCTTTCCATAACCTATGGTTAGCAAGATATTAATCAGCAGTAACAGTTGCATCAAAAGTTGGTTACAAACAATCGATAGAAACAGGACGTGAAGCTAGACAACCAGTTAGACCAGAAATTCTCAGAAGGGAGTATGCCTTAACCCTAAAGAGGCCTAGAAGAGCCATGGCAAGATGAGGGCATTTATAGCCCTATCTTATCCATATGAACGGGTGACCCTCATGCATCTGTTTATAGGCTCTCCACAAGGGTTGCATTCCATTCCCAGAGCTATGAACATCTGCTTTTCTGGGATAGGAATCTTGGTGATGTGAAACCTCCCTGACTGCACATCCATTCATAGGCTCTCTGGAGGGGGAAACACATCACATGCTGTTGGCTCATTCTGACATTGTCTTTACACAATCCTGCATGCAATTTTGTATTTACAATAATCAGGAGCATTTCATCTTTTATTCCATAGCAATAGTTTCAGGGGGTCTCCCTACACTAGATAATATGGTGAAACCTGCCACCATGCCCAGCTAATTTTTGTATTTTTAGAAGAGACAAGGTTTCACCATGTTGGCCAGGCAATCCACCTGCCTTGGCCTCCTAAAGTGCTGTGAGGCATGACCCACCATGCCACCAGGCCCCTTCCCCTCCCTCCCTCCCTTCTTCCCTCCCTTCCTTCCTTCCTTTCTTCCTTCCTTTTCCATTCTTTCTTCTTTCTTTTCCAAAGAAGACAAAAATATGTGGGTTTGCTTGGTTTTGTTTTGATAAATCTTACAACAATTTAATTTGGAAAATTAATTTTTGTTTTGTTTTTCCAGACAAAATTTTCTTGTGCCCCATCTCTACTTTGTTTTCTGTAAACTAGAGATTTCTATATTGTTTCAAAAGAAGCAAGACTTTAAAAAGAAAGTCAGGAAAATTTCATTGATTGTAGAAATTGGAAAAGGGCTTATTCTACAGTTGGGAGATAAGTGTACTTAGATGTGGTAAAGCCAGCATTCACTGTGTGCTCCTACACAGTGGCCTCTCAGAGGCAGGCAGAAAGGAAAAGCATCCTGTATTGGGATGCTTTTCCCTGTGTATAGCAAGAACTCCATTCAAACCAGCCTGAAGAACAAGGAATCATATTGAGTCACATAATAGTAGCTCTGACTTTATTTCTCTGAGATTCTTTGTTTCACTTTCTTGCTTGTTTGGTTTTATTATACTTCCTGTATAGTTGCAGGATAGCTACTTGCAACAATACAGGCAGCATGCTCCCATGCTCCCATTCTAAGAGGAGAGAGAAACTGTGACTCTCACATGTTACCACAGCTCCACTGGCAAAAGTCTGTAAGCATTTATTGGCTTAATGTGGCTTAAATCTAAGCCAAGTGCAGGCAAGAGGAATTCATAGATGAATCAAGTCACACTATTGTGTTGTACAAGAGTCAATTCCCAAAATGTCATGGCGGCAATGTAGGATGTGTGAAATGGAGGTTGGAATGTCTGTTTCAACAAGCACAATGGGTCCCTACAGTGTGAAGCAGGCATGCCTTGGCTGATGTGCATAGTCCCTGGTTCTGTTGTAAATATGGTGTTTTCTTCATAAAGGCAACATTTTAGCTATCTCAAAAGACTTTGAAGACTTGAAGCCATCTCAGAATTCAGAGAATACTGTCTTCTATAGGCTAATGTTATGTTTGACCTAAAATTCTTTAAGTATATTTTAGTCAGACTCATTGAAAAACCATGAGCTATTCTACACCCATATTAATAATGCCAAAGTTTTGTTTCCCTCTCCTATTTGTAGAAAAATAGATTGCACTTTCCAAATCAGGAACAAAGCAACCTAGGGAGGTACTTATGCAACTAAATTCTATATTTTCTGAGTAACTACCAAGTCAAAAGCATATTGTTTTGCAAATGACAATGACTCAAGTACTTCACCTGCACTCCATTAATGTATTTATCTGATACATTTGCTTATTGATTGCTCAATAAATAGATTTGTTTTTGTTTTTGTTTTTACCTGTGTTTGTAGATTTTTATCTTTCAATCTAGATTTAAGCAAGCTTAGAAAACACGTTTTCTCCTCAACAATATTCTTAACAGAGTACTTTTCCTTCGATAAAAATGCAAAAATCTTAGTGCATAAATATGCAGCATTAGTAATTGGCTCTATGTTCAAGAAATGGGTTGCAGGGTGAGAATCACCCACCAAACATCTTGTCTTACCCACCTCTTGTCAAAGCTTTAGTCTTCCTGCATATTCAACTCAGGATTGATCTAAGAGCATTTTATATCCTTATGAATATTTTTTCTTTTGAAATATAACCTGGTCCTTTTCTTTATCCTTCGTGATGTGGATAAGATAGTGCATTTTTCTATGTTATTAATGCAAACATTTTTGCTGCCTTTTTTTCTGCTACTTAACCTAGGCCTGCATTCTTACTTTGGGAAGAGAAAGGGACTATAAGATTTTATTTAGGATTGTTCAGTTTTAGCATCACTAGCAGTAGAGATTTTAAACCTTCAGGAATAAAATCTAACATTGTTTTGTTTTGTTTGCTGTAAGAGGTTATATTTTTTAAATGTTCAAATATTTCTGTACATTCTTCAGTTTATTTTAAAATAATAAATAAGTAAAGTAGCCCTCCAAGCATTTAAAGGCTAACAAGTTAAATATTTTGTTTTCAGTTTTGACTTAGAGGTTTTGGAAAGCACAAAAACAGTGTATAGTCTAAAGAGGAAAAGTAAAGTTAAAAGATTAATGAAGATTTTAAAAGCCCAAAGTATATTTTGTCAGTCTATAGTTGGCTGCCATGATTTTAAATGAATTATTCTTTTGCTTTGCCTTGAACTGCATAAAATTTGAATTGGCATTTACAGTTTGGTAAGTAAACTGGCATCATAAGTAAGATATTATTTTTAACAAATAGAATTTTAAAATGTCAGATCCATTATAAGATTAAATACCATCTTGAGAAAATATGAAATAGATCCTTACATACAGCACAAATGGGAGTAACTAATAACTAATATAAATTACTAATATGAATTTTCCAGCTCTCATGAGCAAGGTATTGAAGTAAATTCTTTACAGAAATTACCTACTTTAATCCTCTCTGCAAGCTCATGAGACAGGTATAATTCCTTTATAGCACTATTTAGACATATTCATTTTCTTAGGAGACATATCCTGTTTTATACAGAGACATACTTTGTTGAGTTAATAATATGGTAAGTCACTCACCGTGTTGTAGCAAATAAGACCCTCTTCCATAAACTTGTTAAAAGATAAGACCTTTTTAATGCAATGGTGACCCCGGGATTGTATGTGGCTGATTAGGGTATTGAAATAAAGGGTAAGAACTAATTACAATAATCAATTCATGGGATGATTTTGGGGTCTGTGGAGGGATAGAGAGGAAACAAGTAGCTTGTAGAGAAAAGACCTTAATGGAGAAGAAGGAAGCCCCAAAATACGCAATCTGACAAAGCTTTTGCTGTGCGGTATGTAACATGAAACATCAACCTACATTCTCAGAGTATCTTCAGTAAGTAATGCAATTTTTGTTAGTACATGGTAGAGTTGGATCCACTTGGTGAATAGAATATTAACACCTGAGG
The DNA here is from genome assembly GCF_000001405.40 of Homo sapiens. Classification (NCBI taxonomy): domain Eukaryota; kingdom Metazoa; phylum Chordata; class Mammalia; order Primates; family Hominidae; genus Homo; species Homo sapiens. The sequence goes on from NC_000003.12 coordinate 165,680,451, forward strand.
TTTAGTGAATTCTTATTCTGAGCCAAATCTGTGATTACATTTATTTCCCAATGTTTCTATCGGTACTGTTGTTCTCTCCATTTTAGATGAGGAAACTGATTCTTTGAGAGGTTTCATTATTTGCTCAGCTATTGAATTGGTGAATGGTAGAGAGGAGATTTTAACAAAGGCCCTGTGACTCCTGAGATGACATTCTTAATTATTGTGTGATGCTGCTATTATGAGTACCATTCTTACAGATGATAGAAATGAATCTTGAGATAAGATAACTTGTACCAGGTGATAGTTAATGTAGGTATGAGCCAGAATTTAAGTTATATTTATCTAATTCCAAAGCCACTAAACTTGCCATTTACCACATTTTAGAAAAATGTGCTCAGTACTTATTAATGAGGCAACAATTTTACTCCTTTTGAAGGTGTTCATTATAATTTTGGTCTCCATGATTTGGTCTTGGTCAACTAATATTTTTAGTAACTCCTCTAATAAAGAATCTAACTTCATTTTTTAATGTTTGACTACTAACCATTTTTCAGCCTTCCCACTCCTGTTCCCCTTTTGCCCCACATCGGGGCAAACTGATAAAAAGGTCAGATGCTTCCGGTTCCTGTGACAATGTCAAACCATGCAACCTAGGTCACCACACCTGGGAACCTTCACTCAGTTATACTTGTAATCACCATGAAAGTCAAGCCAGTGTCCTTATGCAACTCTCTAAAATGATTTTCTGACCAGCTTGGAAGCCTGTACTGCTTCCTCCAGAATGTCTCCTAATGTGAGAAATAAACAATTTTATATATTTTCTTATTTTTGTGTGTATCATCAGTCTTGGCAGAGAACCAGACTTTAGGTGGGTGTCCATCTTGTTTCAACAGAATACTACAACAGTTCCATGAATATATTTTAGAACTCAAGTAGAAAAGAAATTCACTGGGAGAATGTGTGGTAGTTCATAATATTAACAGAAGGCTGGAAAAAATAGACTCAGAATGTTCATATATCAGGAATATCCAGGTAGCAGGAAAGAAAGGCAACATTATGCCTCAGTGATGGTCTGATTAGGATATTACTGCTGGCACTAATACCACTGAGTATTTATCACTGTTTCCATTGCTGAACTGTCACAGTGATGACTGTCAATACTGAAATGAAAACTGTCTGCATATCCTCACATCATTTGATCACTTTCTCAAGATTCAAAGCTGAAGGTACGAGCATTTAATTCTAAGAGTCTGAGTATCCACCCCCTAGCCAGCCACAGGAACCAAAACAGGGAGAAGCTTTCATTGGCTTCTGATTTAATAGTTTTTCCCCCTAAGACATGCAGATTTGAGAATAAACTTGAAGTGGAAAGGTTGTTCTGATTCCAGTTAACATATACATATCACCAAAAGTAGCTGTTCTACAGTATGAATTTCACAATTAGATACTTACTCAACTTATGTGAAATCATATTTTGCCAAAAGGACATGCACAAAAATGTTCAGAGCAGCCTATTCATAGCAGGCAAAAACTGGAAATAATCCCAAATATCCATCAGCTGGAAAAAGGCTACACCAACTATAGTGTATTCATACAATGGAATGTTATTCATCAAGTAAAATAAATGAACTGAATGAAATAATGTGAATTTTTGCAAAAATATTTTGTTAAACAAAAGAAACCTGGAACAAAAAAGTGTTCCATTCTCTGCTTCCATATATTAAAAAAAGCAAGAACAGAAAAAAATTAATCTGTCAGAAATTAGAAATTAGTTTCCTGGAGAGTGAGGGAGGGAGATTCACCAGAAAGGAGAAAAATAACATTCCTGGGTAATGAAAATGTTTTTTACCTTGTTTTGGATGATGGTCACACAGTTATACAATTGCCAGAACTCAATAAACCAAATACCTAAAAGAAATGTATTTTTATAGAACTCAATAAACCAAATACCTTAAACAAGTGTATTTTTACAATGTTAATTAAACCCAAATTATATACAAATGAATATACATATACACACTTCTTATACATATACATATATAGTCGTTTAATATATAGTTGATTCTCTAACTCCATGTTGATAAGATTCAAACATGTAAGAAAAATATTAAGATCAGAATTGCAACTGATGGTTGATATTTTCAGTTTTAAGCTTGTTTTGTAATAATATTTTGTATGACAGAAAATAATTTGTGAATTTAAATGAAAGTGGACTTCAAAATTGTGTAAGAGGGGGAATATATAAATACGCTTAAAATTCTAGCATTCATGATTCCTCCTATGAGAAAACAGTAAAGCACAATTCTGATTTTATGGCTGCTTATAGAAAATTTGAAATTTAACATTCAGAAAAGCAAATATAGTCCCCTCAGATTATTCTTTCTGGTTAAACACAACAAATGTTTATTTCTTACTATTTCTTACTGGGAACGCATGCCCAAAATGGCTGATAGGGGCTTTGCTCATCAGAGTTACGTAGTAATGAGTATTTCACAATCACCAAAATAGGGACAGTGAACATACAGGGTCTCTGCCAATTAAGTTCTCCAATCAGAAAGTGAGGTACATGGGTTCTACTGACAAATCATTTATCCAAACTATTTATATGTCCTTGTCTCATGTCAAGAGGGGCAGTGATATCATCACACGGTGTGGAAAGTGGGATGGGGATTCAGGTATTGATGAACAATGGTAAATTCTTTCATAGTTATATGGTAGGAAAGGCAGATTCTGGGGGCATTGAAATCATAAAAGTTTCTTTCTATGACAGTAAAAAAGAAGAAATATATTTGGTGCATATAGCTTAAAAAGCTTCAATTTACTGATTTTAGTAAATAAATAATTTATCAACAATAATTTAATAGTTAAAATGATTTAAATAATGTCATTCAAGCTCCTATTAAAATATCAGCTGCTCACAGCTACAAGACAACACTTTAAAAAAAGTAAAGAAGAGTGTTCATTGTGTAATATTCTTTGTTTCACTTGAAGATCCTGAATGGTCCAAGTGCTCCAATGATCACTGCCCCCAAAGACCTATTTAATAACCTACAAAAGTCAAAATATAAAATTTCCAGGTCCATTCTTTGTCTCTCCAACTACTCTTGAAGCAATATTTTAAAAAGTTTACTGAAGAGCACTAACTTTAATTGACAAAAAGGAAAAATAAATTTACAATGTTATGATCCCGAACAACTGTAGCAGTTTTACTTTTTCCATGTTTACATTTGAGTCATTTTCCAATTGCAGATGTGATTTTTACATATTATTAATCATAGCATAGACAAAGTTAATACCCTTTCTTTTCCACTGAGAAATATAAACATTTTTCTATGTATTTTATTGTACTTAAATAGAATACTGTGACTCTATAATCCGTGAGAAAGTTATAAGGCCTCTCTTTCCCAGCCTCTCTAAAAATAAGGGTTACTAAGTTTTGAACAGTATGAGGTAAGGAGATTTTTTTTTTTTTTTTGAGACAGGGTCTTTCTCTGTTGCTCAGGCTGGAGTGCAGTGGTGGGATCTCAGCTCACTGCAGCCTTGAACTTCTGGGCTCAAGTGATCCTCCCACCTCAGCCTCCTGAGTAGCTGGGGCTATAGGTGTGTGCCACCACACCCAGCTACATTTTGTATGAATATTTTTGTAGAGACAGTGTCTCACTGTGTTGCCCAGGCTAGCTGCAAACTCCTGAGCCCGAGTGATCCACCCGTCTCAGCCTCACAAAGTGCTGGGATTACAGGAGTGAGCCACTGTGCGCAGCCAGAAGATCTTTATTATGGTATTTCTGGTACGTGTCCTTAAAAATGAATCATTAGTACTTTATTTCTTCCTTTTCTCATGTAGAATTTAGACATGATGGCCTAGTTTGAGAAAATCAGCTTGGAATAGCAAGCTAGTATAAGCCTGGTTTCTGGAAGAGAAGGCCCAGATTGAAGTATCTCAAGAGATAAACAGACAACGAACTTGCCTATCCAGTATTCATTTTATTTAATTGATAGATTTCATTTTAGTTTCACTTTGTTACATGTAGCTGAACCTAATACTAACAAATACAGGTCCAGAATTCTGTGCCAATAAACATATATCAATACTTGTTAATCTTCTAGAAATGTATATGTTTCAAAAATTCCAGTAGTGCAAAAAGCATAGACTAAAAATTAAAAGCTATTCACACCTTTGTTGGGCTTTTAAAATTTTACAATTATTGCTCCATTGTCTTCCAAGATTCACTATAGATCATCTCTAGAGAATACAGAGGTATAAATTCCCTTATTTCTCCTACTAAATGTTTTAAAATTTCTTCATCCTTGAAATTCAATTATTTATCTCAGCATAGAAGATTTTGAAACTACTTTTTTCCTAAATTATGGTGAGCTCTTTAAATCTCATAAAATTCAATTCTTCCTAACTTTAAGAAAAAATCTCACAACTTTGTTATCAATTGTCCACCCAGTGTTTTTATTTTCTCTACTTCTCTTTAACATGGATCAGCTCTTTCCATCATTTAATGGTAATTCTGAATTATATAATGATACTTGATCGTGTTGGTTTAAGCTTATGAATAAGGGAACAGTGTTTATATAAGCAAGCTGACTTCATTTTCTCTGCAGTTAAAGAAGGTTTTTGGCTAGACAAAACTTAAGCCTAAACAACTTTCGCTTATGATATTTTCTCAGGGTCTTAGAAAAGTGACATAGGTAATTTTGGGGGGATTTTACATACTGAAAATGTCTTTAGCCCACATTCATATCTAGCAGATAATTTGATAGGATATATAATTTGAAGTGGAAGTTATTTTCCTCAGAATTTTAAAGGCTTTACTTCATTTTCTTTAGCTTTCAGTGTAGTTTTTAAGAAGTCTCATGCAATTCTGTCTATGGAGTCTTCATATTAATAACTGATTTATTTTTGTCTCTTTGAAAGCTTTTACAGTAATTTCTCTATTCTGTGTGTTCTCTAATTTCAGGATGGTAAGTACTGATGCTGGTCTTTTTACATTTGCTTTACTGGGCAATCACTGGTCCTTTACAATCTGGAAACTCATGTCTCTCGGTTTTTAGGACATTTTTAGACCACTTAACTTTGTATTTTTTTCTCTCTTCTGTTTTAGTTTATCTTTCTGGAACTCTTTTTATTCCTATTTGGATAATCTAAAATGGTTCTTTATTAATTTTATCCTTACTCTCCTAATTTTTATTTTTCTCTGCTCTATCTTCTAGAAAATTCTTTCACTGTCTTTCTTCCTTTCACTTATACTATCATGTTATTAATTTCTCAGAGTTATTGTTTGTTATCTGTTTTATTATGTATGGCAGTGTTATTTTATTAGAGGAAGAAAAGTGTCTTCCTTTTACTGACAAAATAATTCTTTTGAAGTTTTCTTCTCAACTCATAGACTGCTTCCTTCAAGTTGTTTTTTATTTTTATTTTGCTTATGTGTTTCATCTTTGTCTTTTGTACAGGAGGCTTAACTGAAATGTTTAAGAATCTTTATCTGCATGCTTATATATAATATTGGGCACTAAAACTAATTAGTGGGTTGGTAACTGTGGGAAAGGCTTGTTACCTGTAAGCTTTATTTTATGATATTACAGCTGTACAATTTAATTGGGGAATCCTTATCTTAGGTTCTGTATTCTTAAGGTAGCCCTATTGCTGTTATCTCAGGTTTTGTATTCTTAGGGTAGCCATATTTCTATTATCTTAAGTTCTGTATTCTTAGGGTAGCCATATTCCTTACAGACTCTTCCAATCTCATGCTCGGAAATTGTGAGTTATTTGCCAGTATTCTGGGAACCAAATGGAAGGGGGTGGAAAGAAGACTGTGGATCTCAACATTAAGTATAGCAACAAAATGTACTTAATCATCCCTTTTTCAGAAATATACCCAGGCCTTCATTTGTGACTGATGTCTTCATTTTACGCTCTGTAGATAATGAAACTCCAGCCTTTTGATAACATAAAGGAAGAGGCATTGCCTGACAATACAGAGTTGGGGAAGGTTTTAGGGCTCTCATTACTTCTTCAAAAGCCTTTCAAACTATTCTGATTTAGTTGGGCCTCACTTTCCTGCCCTCTCTCTAAGAGATAGCAGATGTTAAAAATCTTTGAAACTTTGGGTCTCTGTAGCATGACATAGGTTTCTTTACCGCTAACAACTTAGCTTTGGAATTGACTGGACTTCCTTGGGTATGTTAATTTAGTTACAATTCATACATCTCTTCCTCAGCTCCTAAAATTATTTTGATGTTTTCTGCATCTCTCTCCTGTTCTCTGTGCTTGGTGACTTCAACAAAAATGTAAACCCCATTTACTGTCATTTTAGTAGGGTTTTAGAAATGAAACATATATAATATACACCTTCATTCTGTCTTCCTTAACTTAAAGGCCTCTTATTACATTTTTTGGTAAAAATAATTATTAGATATTTTTCAAAATTTCAATATTTTTAATGAATGTTGTCTGTGAAATGTAAACAAAATTTGAAAAGAGAAATATGTTAAAAATAAGCAGGTTGCTAAGGATAACAGGAGAGAAAAAATTTGCTTAGCATGAAGACATGCAAGTGTTCTTCTTTTGATAAGAATTATATGACTTGGGATAGTAATAGCCATAGGGTAAGATAAATTCAATTTTTTAGAATCCTATTTATATCTTAATATAAATATTTAATGATTTGGTTGAATTAACCTAATGTCTGAACTGCTCTAACTTGAATTAAGAAAAATCCCTCATAACCTTTAAAATTTCCAAATGATGAAATATTTTTGAAGAATAGAAATAGCTCATGGGGCCAGGTGCAGTGGCTCACCCCTGTAATCCTGGCCCTTTGAGAGGCGGAGGCGGGCGGATCATCTGAGGTCAGGAATTCGAGACCAGCCTGACCAACATCGTGAAACCCCATCTCTACTAAAAATACAAAAATTAGCTGGGCATGGTGGCGCATGCCTGTAATCCTAGCTGCTCAGGAGGCTGAGGCAGGAGAATCGCTTGAACCCGGAAGGTGGAGGTTGCAGTGAGCCGAGATCACGCCATTACACTCCAGCCTGAGCAGCAGAGCGAGACTCTGTCTAAAAAAGAAATAGCTCATGGATGCAAATCACTGCTGTAATTAGTTCTCTTATGTGTACATAGTTTATAAAAAACTCAAGGAAAAATGTTGAATTGACAGCAATCTATTTTGTTTCTCCCTCTCTCTGTCTCTTATTCTTTATCACTTTCTCCTTTTCTAACTTTCTGCACCTTTTCATTCTCAGATATATTTTGGCAGCTGAATGTGTGTGCATGTAGAATGTAAGAAGGGAAGAAGGAACTGAATATTATGGATTTGAAACTTCTTGACAAAACACAGCTGCTCATGTTGGAGGACATTTTATTGAATACACTAATTCCCACAGACTGCATCTGATACTCAATAGTTTTAAAGCTGATAAGATTTTACTATGAGCATTCTTAACTGAATATTTAACAACTGTGGTAGATGTCAATTACATCAATGGTAAAATTATATACTCTAGATTTATCTAGCACAAACTGACCTCATAGTAAAAATTAATTTACATAAAAATTATTTGAGTGATTTTTTTATTACTTACATGGAATGTTCTAGAACACTCTTAATAAATGTGCATATAGACACTATTTTCCATCAGATAATAATTAATAAGTAGATAGAATAGAAACTCAGAATAGGATCCTAAAAATGTTAACAGTGCAATTGTAATTTCCTGACCAAAATGTGACATAGATATTACACCAGTTTCTCCTAAACCACCTGACTCCCCCCCAAAAGTTGAAAGGAGTTGAGGAACTGTATTTTATGATGCTAAACATTTGGATAAAAAGTGAAGTTTTCAGTTGATATTCTGAATGTTTACAAATATTTTGTTTCTTTTTGTTGAGTTAACCAAACTCATACATTTTATATTTATCTTCAAGTCTTAAATGTTCATTTGGGTTTTATTCTAAAACATCTCAATAATTTATTCAAGAGTTAATCATGCAACTGTTTTGTTTTTTTCTAACAAATATATATACCATAGTCCCAATATTCTATTTAGCCTCAGGAATAATTGTATTTCCTTAGGGCCATGTACCTAAATGGGATAAATAGAAGTATGTTCTTAAGGATATTTTCAGTTTGTAGGTGAGGGCATTTTCAAACCCAAAATTCACCTATCCTCAGAGACTGATAAACTCCTAGAAGCATGTAGATCCTCTTCCTTAAAACCTTTCCACCTCCTCCCATCTTTAGCAGCACCAAACTAAAAATCAATTGTGCACCAGAAAAATATCCTAGGTATGTATTATTGCTTCAGAGTTAACTTCAATCCTGCATACGTTATTAGACAAAGCACAAGAGGACTCTATTCAAAACATTATTAAATTGTTCAGACATAAAAGTCAATTGCTGGAAGTACAGGGTCAGTGTGTGTAAACTCATTTTCAGCTTTTAACAGAATAAAGCACTTTTAAATAATATTTAAATAACAGTTTTAAATAATTGTTAGTATTTTTAGGTCATTAGCAAAGAAATTTAGGTTTTGAGCACTTATGTAATTAATTGTACTTTTAAAAGATTTAAGGCCTAAAGATGGCAGAACAGTATGAGAGAAATCTGAGAATTTCCAAAGAAATGAAGTATTTTAAGGTGAGAAAGTTTAATCACTAGTCTACCCAAATACTAGCCCGAATTGATGGAGTGCTAATTATGTACTAGGCACTGTTTTTTGTTTGATGTGAATTATACATGCTAACTAGTTTACTTTTCAAAGCAACCACTTGATACAGGAATTGTTAGGTTCCTAATACTGTTGATAAAATATATTGTCTTGTATTAAGGTAATGGATGAGGCATTACAAGAATTTTGATTCAACTATGATTGTGTTTTTAGCCCAGGCACAGCATTCAATTGCTTAATTGTTAAAATGAGATGCTATGACAAAGATGCTTGAATTTGTCTTTCAATTCTAGAAAGCTACAGATTTTAAGCTTTTCTATCTTATGGATTGGATAAAAAAAATAAGTTATCTGTCTTAGGTATTTTCTTCTTTTTCATGGACTGTGACTTTTTTTTTAAGTTAATAACACGGTAAGTGTTAATAACGCCTTTATCAGAGGGTGTACAGGGAAAGGTAATGAGTTATTATAATTAGCTAATGTAGATCAATATTTAAAATAGTGCCTGGTCTATAGCAAGCACCAAGTAAATTTGAGATAACACGGTTTTTGACTAAATATCAGTATTTAAGTATTTTGTAATATTCTGTCCATTTTTAGCCTTAGTTTTTTATTTTTTTTAATTTTTGTGGCTGCATAATAGGTGTATATATTTATGGGGTACATGAGACATTTTGATACAGGCATGCAATGTGAAAAAAGCACAACATGGAGAAGGAGTATCCATTCCCTCAGGCATTTATTCTTTGCGTTACAAACTATCCAATTACCCTCTTTATTTTAAAATGTATAATTAAGTTATTATTGACGATAGTCACCCTGTTGTGCTATCAAACAGTAGGTCTTATTCATTCTTTCTATTTGTTTGTACCCGTTTACCATTGCCAATTGTCCCAAACCCTGACTACCTTTCCGAGACTCTGGTAACCATCCTTCTACAAGCAAGAGACAGGCAGTAACAAATGCTGGCAATGATGTGAAGAAAAGGGTACCATTTTAAGCCATTTTAACTGGGATGAGACGGTATCTCATTGTAGTTTTTATTTTGTTTATTCTGACAGTTTTTAAAGACATTTTACGTTTTATCCAGTAGTCTACTCTTAATGCTTTAAATTGGTAAGAAATAACTTAGCTATTAACAGTAATAGTGAACTTGTCTGTTAATTGTAGATTTTTATACAGTCTTAACATCTTAACATCATGATTTTATCCATTATTGTCATTCAATAATATTGGGATTGTTTATTCCTGTTATTTCACCAGCACTAAGGATATTGTGTTCCTCAAATATCATGTAACTTTAATGAGTATTACATTGTTTTTCTTCTCAAACTTCCTTTGAGATAGCCGATGTAAAATACTCATGCACATTTCATTTATAATTAACTTAAAAATTTCTATTTGGTTTTCAATTCTTTTCCACAATCTGATCTATTACTATTTTCATTTTTCTTTTATCCACTTTTATTGTCTTCTGCATTCAACAGCCATTCACAGTTGGATCTCTCACAACAAATATTCAGTCCTGCCTAATTTTTCAATTCATTTATGATTGAATGAGAAAGTACTATGTATCGAAGCCTCACACTCCAATGTGAAAAGGCAAAGCACTAAATAAATTGTGACTACCTTATCAAGAATGGATCTGGAGGCCAATAAAACTTTCGAATCTCAATTTTCTAATATTGTTTCTTGAATACATCCAAAAATGTTTTATCAGAAAATTATATACATTTACACATATTTGTAAATTGGTATCTAAAATATCTAATTACAACTTTAAATAATATGAAAGTATGTAATTTCCTACATTATGAAAATATCACCATCTAAAAAATCATTGTTTCTTGAATACATCCAAAAATGTATCATCATTAGGTTACTCTTGTAAATGTATCCATTGGTATTAAATACCATATCAATCTGATATTTGTCATCTACTTAAAAATATCGATAAGCAAGATTATAAATTTGTCAGTTCCCTTTTCTCCTAAACTCACATTCCCATGCCATTTGCTGCATTCAGAGTTTATCCATTATATTATATATTTTTGCTTGAAAGTGTTTAATTATCTGATCACACTCCTTCACATCAAAAATATGTGTATTTAAATTTAAATCATTATTCAAATTTCATCATATTATAGGCTCAAAGTATTAAAGACTTTATATTGCATTTTCATTACAATTATCCTCAATTTATGTTTATTACACAACATAAATATAGGTTATGTTGACATTTAAAATTACTACATATAAAGCAAAGTATAACACACCTTGAAAGATAAAGGAGTATAGCTTACTTTTCAATTGAATTATGCATATATAGATGTATTAGTCCATTTTCACGCTGCTGATAAAGACATACCCAAGACTGGGTGATTTACAAAAGAAAGAGGTTTAATGGACTTACAGTTCCATGTGTTTGGGGAAGCCTCACAATCATGGAAGGCAAAGAGGAGCAAGTCATGTCTTACATGGATGGCAGCAGGCAAAAATAGAGCCTGTGCAGGGAAACTCCTGTTTTTAAAACCATCATATCATCTGGGCACAATGGCTAATGTCTGTAATCCCAGCATTTTGGAAGGCCAAGGCGGGTGGATCACCTGAGGTCAGGAGTTCATGACCAGCCTGGCCAACATGGTGAAACCCCATCTCTACTAAAAATACAAAAATTAGCCAGGAGTGGTGACACTCGCCTGTAATCCCAGCTACTCAGGAGGCTGAGGCAGGAGAATTGCTTGAACCCAGAAGGCTGAGGTTTCAGCTGCAGTGAGCCAAGATCACACCACGGCACTACAGCCTGGGCAACAGAGCAAGACTCCTTCTCAAAAAAACAAACAAACAAAAAACAACAAACAAAAAAAAAAACAACTCCCATCAGATCTCATGAGACTTATTCACCATCACAAGAACAGCATGGGAAATACCTGCCCCCATGATTGAACCACCTTCCACTGGGTCCCTCCCACACCACATAGGAATTCAAGATCACATTTGGGTGGGGACACAGCCAAAAAACGTCATCCCACCCATGACCTCACTCAAATCTCATATCCTCACACTTCAAAACCAATCATGCCTTCCCAACAGTCCCCCAAAGCCTTAACTCATTTAGCAATAACTCAAAAGTCCATAGTTCAACATCTCATCCTAGAAAGGGCAAGTCCCTTCCACCTATGAGCCTGTAAAATCAAAAGTGAGTTAGTTCCTAGATACTAAGAGGGGTAAGGCATTGGGTAAATATACCCATTCCAAATGGGAGAAATTGGCCAAAGCAAAGGTGCTACAGGCCCCATGCAAGTCCAATATCCAGCAGGGCAGCCAAACCTTAAAGCTCCAAAATTATCTCATTTGACTCCATGTCTCACATCCAGGTCACACTGATGCAAGAGGTGGTTCCCAGGGTCTTGGGCAGCTCCACCCCTGTGGCTTTGCAGGATACAGTCTCTCTCCTAGCTGCTTTCAAGGGCTGGTGTTCAGTGTCTGTGGCTTTTCCTGGCACACAGTGCAAGCTGCTGGTAGATCTACCATTCAGGGGCCTGAAGGATGTTGGCCATCTTCTCATAGCTCCACTAGGCGGTGCCCCATTGGGGACTCTGTGTGGAGGCTCCAACCCCACATTTCCCTTCCACACTGCCCTAGCAGAGGTTCTCCATGAGGGCCCCACCCCTGTAGTTAACCTCTGCCTGGGCATCCTAGCATTTCTATACATCCTCTGAAATCTAGGCAGAGGTAATCAAACCCCAATTCTTGACTTCTGTGCATTTGCAGGCTCAACACCATGTGGAAGCTGCCAGGTCTTGAGGCTTGCATGCTCTGAAGCCATGGCCCAAGCTCTGTGTTGGCCCCTTTCAGCCACTGCTAGAGCAGCTGGGAAACAGGGCACCAAGTTCCTAGGCTGCACACAGCACAGGGAGGGACATTGAGCCCAGCCCATGAAACCATTTTTTCTTCCTTGGCCTCTGGGCCTGTGATGCTAGGGCTGTCATGAAGACCTCTAAAATACCCTGGAGACATTATCCCCATTGTCTTGGGAATTAACATTTGGTTCCTCATTACTTATGCAAATCTCTGCAGCTGGCTTGAATTTCTTCTCAGACAGTGGGATTTTCTTTTCTATTGCATTTTAAGCTGCAAATTTCCCAAATTTTTATGCTCTGTTTCTTTTTTAAAACTGAATGCTTTTAACAGCACCCAGGTCATGTCTTAAATGCTTTACTGCTTAGAAATTTCTTCTGCCAGATACCTTAAATCATCTCTCTCAAGTACACATTTCCACATATCTCTAGGGCAGGGGCAAAATGCTGCCAGTCTCTTTGCTAAAACATAGCAAGAATCACCTTTGCTCCAGTTCCCAACAAGTTTCTCATCTCCATCTGAGACGACATCAGCCTGGATTTCATTGTCCATATCATTATCAGCACTTTGATCAAAGCCATTCAGTAAGTGTCAAAGAAGTTCCAAACTTTCCCACATTTTCCTGTCTCCTTTTGAGCCCTCCAAACTGTTCCAACCTCTGCCTGTTACCCAGTTCCAAAGTTGCTTCCACATTTTCAGGTGTCTTTTCAGCAGCTCCCTGCTCTACTAGTATCAATTTACTGTATCAGTCCATTTTCATGCTGCTGATAAGATACCTGAGACAGGGTGATTTAGAAAGGAAAGAGATTTCATGGACTTACAGTTCCACATTCTGGGGAAGCCTCACAATTATGGTGGAAGGCAAGGAGGAGCACGTCACATCTCACATGGATGGCAGCAGGCAAAAAGAGAGCCTGTGCAGAGAAACTCCTGTTTTTAAAACTATCATCTCACGAGATTTAGTCACCATCATGAGAACAACATGGGAAGACCTGCGCCCAAGATTCAACCACCTCCCACCAGCTCCCTCCCACAACACATAGGAATTCAAGATGACATTTGGGTGGGGACACAACCAAACCACATCAATAGATGAATATCACCACTAAAATATTATCATTAAAATGAGAAATATTACCATTAATATATTACCATTATCATAAATATTAACATTATAATGAGACATTATGTGGCTTTCTTGGATATAATATATTCCATCAGTACCCATTTTTGTGTGTATGTGTGTGCCCACTTGCCAACATTGCTGTGGACACTAAAACCTATCTCTTAAGTCAATTCCCATTTAGATATTCCAATTAATTCAGATTTCTCTTTCCTGTGTCATATGTATATTCTCTACTTATTGCATACTGTCACCTTGTCATTTTGTATTTTGAGCTTTAAAAATTATTCCTGCATTTTTACTACCTAGGGACATTATACTAATTTTCCAGCTCTGTACCCTCCACTTCTATGACTTTTTTTACTTTGTTTTCCTTGAGTACTTCTTCCTAATTCAAGCTCCCCCTTTCCTGAAAAGCTCCAATATCATAAGTTTCATATTACAAAATCAATTACAATGTTTCAAATTATTATTTATTGCTCATTGTGTTTTTTGAATTTTAAGCATTTCAAAAACCAGTCATGAAATTTGACTATAGCAAATTGCATTAGAAATTATTGGTGTCTAGCCTACAATAAGTAGTCAATGAATGTCTGTTGTTTCAATCACCCTGGCATTAAAAATAGATGCTAAGGGAGTAAACATTACATACTAAGTAGTAGAGTTAGAACTTAATGCTTGCTTTAGTAAACAATTTCAATGCATAAATCTTGTAAAAGTAATTAGAATGGATTTATTAATTAATTGATTTCAAGTTGTTTTTCTGTTATTTGTTGTGTCTTTTTTTTCTTTTCTTTTCTCTGAATTTTGTTGGTCTATATCTTCTTCAGTAACCACATTTGGATACTTTAAATTAGATCCTAAATATTATTCAGTAACTTTGGAGAAGTTAAAAAAAACAACTCATTACTCAGGAAAGAGATGGTATACGAAATCTTAAAAAAAAGAAGCAATCTTTAAATCTCTAATATTTAACAATTCTACACAAGATTCTTTTCAGGAAGGAAGCTTTCTCAAAAAGTGTGAATCAGAAAAGTAAACTTTGGTTCCTATAGTGTTAGGTGGAGACAAGTTTCAGTCGGTTTTATAATAAATTCAATTGAGTCTATGTTCCCTTATATACTTCTTTCATTTTGACTATCAAATATCTTTCAGGGCTCTCACCAATCTGCTATTTTCACATTTATATATCACTGAGATATTTCTGATTTTGTACTTTTCTCAAGGAAAACAGCCAATGCATATTTAGATAACACTGATGACTGGCATCATGTTTAAATTTATTTTACATTCAATTTAGACTCAAAAAAGAAACCCTTTGTTTAGTTTAACTTCAGTGTCCACACAACTGCATAGCCACATAAGCCCCTCTGAGGTAACATACAGAAATTAATCTACTTGTATATTGGTCCTACAGTCAAATTCCCACTTAAGATTCATTATTATGTAAAGTAACTACAAAACTTGATGGAGAGAACTGATTTAATTTATTAAATCTTGTGAAAGTAATTGAAGCTGGAAACTTCTTGAGCTGCAGAGAACATGGCTTCAGGGGTGACTTGCCTTTATAAATTCTTTGTAGGATTATAGTGGACTAATCAATTTTAATAACTACATTGACATTCCCATTCTCTATGAATCCATCTATGAATGGCAGACCCAATATCTAGGTTCTAGTACCTAGTTTCCATGGTTGGAGACTAGAATGTATCACCCCAAAATATTATTACAAATTAATTTGGGCCATGCTGCCCCAACATATGCCACCCTGGTATCTTGATTATTTTGAAGGTGCTTGAAAAATAGCAAAGGTAGGGAGAGACTTTCTGTAAACACTCGTTCTGTCTAAAGTCAGATCTTAAAAAAAAAGAAAAAAGAAATCTAAATTGTCATAAATCCCTTCCCTGGCTATTGTTTAATCAGCAGAAAAAATTGACTCCTATCAGAGAAAAGATTAGAAGTCAACACCACACCGAGACAAACTTTGTCACAAATTATCAGAATTCCCATCTGTTATTCTAAGGACCCACTGATCTTTTCTAAAAGTCATTTACTCTCCCCAAATGATCTACAGCCTCCTCTCCTTCCCCTATTAAGATGGTCTATATGTTGTCAAATCTTACCAATTTGAAGGGTATTCACTTTTTTTTTCTGTGATGTCCCATGCATGTAATATTAAAAACTGGCAAGTCCGTATGCCTTTTCTTCTGTTAATTTGCCAGGTGTCAGTTTATTTCATACATCCAGCTGTTGAACCAGGAGAGCAGAGGGAAAGTCTTTCCTCCCTTATATGGTGCTTTCAATAGAGTCTATTTCTCAATGTGTAATTTATTATTCATTAGGTGAGTATAGTACTAACTGTAAAATATATTTCACTATTAATATGAGAAGTTTTTTGCGCTCATATTGTCTTCAACTCAAACTGTTCTCTCTTGTCTACTTATACTTGATATGGTAATCTGTTAATGACTAAGATCTGATCAGTTGCTTTCTGGGTGTCAACATTTTCACTTTCTCTCAATGAAACAAGTTTTATGTTGCAGAAAAATATTTCCCATGTGAAAGCTTACTCAAGCATATTCTGCATCTGTACATCAATGGCTCTTCTGGTTTAAATTGAAAGTACAGATTTTTTGAAAATGAAATGCAAGCTTATGCCATAAAGAAGTTGAATAGCTGGGCCATAATGGATAGTAATGAGTCATTAGTGACTAAGGTGAAGAAAAAATTGCTGTAAAGTAATAAATGGCTTTGCAGCACATGCAACATTCAGCAAGAACCAAATGTCAATGAGAATCCAGGTGCCAAGCCTTCCTGTGAGTTTATAAACTACTTAGAAGAACACAAACAATTTATACCTTATAGTAGAGAATAAAACTGAATGCTTAAATCTCCAATTCTCATTAAACCTTAGCTACTTAGGTGGTAGAGAGAGCAGTTTAAACAGTTACGAAAATTGTGTAGCATACTGATTACTCTCAGCACTTCCTAAAATCAGTCTATAATCATATTCCCAAACAGCTGCCAGCACTACTTCTCATTTCTTTGAAACTGGTTCTTTTTTCCAAAAGGTTGTGTAGAAACCATGAATTCTCTGACAGGGCCATTCATGTCTCATTCTGAGAGGTACTTAGTATACTCAAGAAATAGTTGCTAAAAGCAAGAGGCTTTTTTTTTTTTTAATTTTACGACAGTTATAGCAAGAGTTCTGTTTAGTTAAAAAGGATGTAAGCTGTGGATTGGGAGCAAGGATCTAGAGAAGTCCTGCTGGGCCATGCATGGCCTTTAATTTTCAGGACAGGAGGGAGATTTGGGAGATCAAGAGAAGGGGGTGAAGGCATTAATCTGGGAAGTAAAAAGGCACACAGGACAAAGAGTAGCAGTGATTTACTATTAGGGAAGTATTTCAGTGTTTTAATTACCACTATTGGCTTATCATGACATGCTGACTGAATATTGACCCTGATTAAATGAATATCTTCAGCAACGCTGTCAAAATTTGCCCATTAGAAAATTTTGTAGTGGCTATGTTGCCACCTGACCCTGTCACCAGATGCCCTCAATGAGGTTGATATCTCTTATTTTCAATAGCCATTTCCTATTCTGTTCACAGATTAGAACATAAAGTCTCCGTCAAGTTACATAACAATTTACAGAACTAGCAAGTGACAGCGCAGGAATTCATCTTTTCTCCCACTGCTTTTAAAACTCTCTCTGCTGAAGAATAAAAGGCCCCCTAGGGGAACCTAGAATAAGAACTCCACATCCAAGTGAAACTTTGGGAAGGAGTGGAGGGCTGTTCAGATGTGATGGAGAGAAGGGATAGTGTCTTTGTTACAACTCAAGCTTGTCACATTTTGTTCTTTATAATTCTAAAAATAAAACTTCAGATGTCCAACAAAGTACACCATATGAAATATATTTGAGCATGGTTTAGTTCCGCAAGTTGTTCAGGGAAAATGGGTGCTCTGGATAGAGGCTCTGTGTGAATGAAGGTGTGACCCAAGATCACCAGGCAGTTCTATAAAGTGTGAACTCTAACTAGAGCTTTCTCTAGGTGTGGCACATTGGGCAGGACACTTAATCTCTCTAAGCTGCAGTTCCCTCATCTGTAGAACTGTAATGATTCTCTTTATTCAGTAACTAGGGAAATTTAATGTGATGATTTATATTTAGGGCTTCGCATAATGACTGAAAAAAAGGGCTAAATAAATGTTAGTTCTTGCTATAGCCATTTTTACATAAGAAAAAGGAAAAGTGAAAGTCTTATCTTCCTAACCTTAGCAGCTGCTATAGAATTTTTTGCAGAGTGAATATTTGATAAATGCTTGTTGAATGAGTAACAACTTAAACTAAATACCAGTTGACATGTTGTCTTTTCTGTTTTCAGTGAGATATTCCAATCATAGTAAACATCCATTAGAGTCAGGGTTATTTGATTTTTAATTTCTTTTTCCTGTAGGTATGTATGTCTAGAGTTCCTTAAATAGCAGCATGGAAAACAGTAGATTTCAAGACTGTGGAAGACTATCAATTATAATAATTTTATAAATGATAAGTTCTAAAGTAACTTCACTTTACATAAGTGTACATGTAAAGCATATAAATCAAAACATAATGTAGCATAGCATGGTGCTATAGAACAACACAGTGGAAATAAGCTAAAGGTTAACTCAGTTAAATTATAACATGTAGTAACACTAAGCGTTTGCTATGTGCTGTGAAATTCAACAAGAGCTGTGGGGTAGCATAAAATATAAGACATGAGCTCAGCCCTTAACAGTGCCACTCTAGGCTGGGCGCGAACGCTCACGCCTGTAATCCCAGCACTTTGGGAGGCCGAGGCGGCCAGATCATGAGGTCAGGAGATCGAGACCATCCTGGCTAACAGGGTGAAACTCCGTCTCTACTAAAAATACAAAAAAATTAGCCGGGCATGGTGGCGGGCGCCTGTAGTCCCAGCTACTCGGGAGGCTGAAGCAGGAGAATGGCATGACCCGGAAGGCAGAGCTTGCAGCGAGCAGAGACCACACCACTGCACTCCAGCCTGGGCAACAGAGCTAGACTCCGTCTCAAAAAAAAAAAAAAAAAAAAAGAGCGCCACTCTAAGTTACCATATAAGATTATAAGTTTTTTTTTAATTTAGTCATTTGTATATGCATTAATTTACAAATTTTACTGGAGACTTGCAATATGCCACGCACACTGCTAGGCACTGAGTATACAATACAAACAAAACAATGTTTTCACTTTCAATGAACTCGTATTCCTGTGGAGGAGATAGACATGTAAACAGCTAATTAAAATGAAATGTTTTAAGTGTTATAAGAATGAAATAGAACAGAATGTGATCGATCACAGGACAAATTGAACGTGACTGGTAATGCGTTTGGTAGGAGTTCACAGATGAGAAAATTAAGTCCCTTGAAAGATGTTTCTAAGCCGGAACTGTAGATTACAATAAATTATATTAAGATAATTGCAAGTCGGCCGGGCACAGTGGCTCACTCCTGTAATCCCAGCACTTTGAGATGCTGAGGCAGATGGATCACCTGAGGTCAGGAGTTCAAGACCAGCCTGTCCAACAGGGTGAAACCCGTCTTTACTAAAAATTAGCTGGGCGTGGTGGGGTGTGCCTGTAATCCCAGCTGCTCGGGAGACTGAGGCAGGAGAATCGCTTGAACCCGGGAGGCGGAGGTTGCAATGAGCGGAGATCGCGTCACTGCACTGCAGCCTGGACGACAAGAGCGAAACTCTGTCTCAAAAAAAAAAAAAAAAAAAAAAAAGATGTATAATTACAAGTCAAGTGGGAATGGATATCATCAAGGAATATAGAATAGATTTTAAAGAATGGTATTATATTTATTTAAGTAGATGGAAGGGATGAGGCCTTTGGGTACTTTAATTTTTTTTTACTTGGAATTCTCCATTTTGACTATCCATCTGCCAAACGAACTATGCATCTCTTTTATTTTGTGCCATGATTCAGAGAATCTTAGTGAGAAAGGTCTCGAGTATTATTTGAATAAACTTTGCATTATTTATTGTCGATAAAGCATCCCTGGCATTTGGTTCCTAAAACTTGGTCTTCCTTTTCTGTTTGAACACTGCCAGTAATTGGGTTGCCTACTATCTGTCTTTTTTATATTTAGCAAAAAGTATTTCTCACTTATTTCTCCTAGTTTTCTCTACAGTTTGCATAAACTCTTTGGTATCCTTTTCATTAAATAGACCTTCAAAAAATTTTATATACTACTCATGTGTTTACAAAGTCCTTTCTTTTATAGACTTAGCATAAATACATAAATACATATATACTAAAAGCATATATTTAATACAAGCATCATCAACTTCAACTGTATCTCATATGGCATAGTTTCTAGATATTTGACCATTTGAGGAAGAGAAATAAAAGTACTAGTAATATTTTTACCTAGTAGCAGAAATGGATTTAAAACTCCTAATAAGATCTTGAGATATCTGATCACATTTGTGATGGCTCTCTTTAGAATAAGGTGTCCTATGTGTTTCTTTGCCCCCAGCTCTTTTTATTTTCACCATTTTTAAATATTGCTTGTTAGAATCTTCCATTTCCTCTTATAATTACTTGGCTTCTTTAGGTAAAATTTTTGGTCTTTTTTACTCATGATTATAGTGATTTTATATTTGATCATAGTAGTTGGTTTACTAGAAAGAGGCTTAAACTCAGCTATGTCTGTGTTACTTCTCTGGACCTGTATTTCTTCATCTGTAAATGAGGAGACACGAGTAGCTAAATTCTTTGGCTTTAAAATTATGATTCCACAGGTCTGTGCTCTATGTTCTCATTGGAACAACTGGGAGCATCAGAGGTAACTATTATTTTTGCTGACTATACAGTGTCTTTTGAAATTAAACAACAATAAAGATTATTCCTAGTTGAAGCAGTTATCTTGATCTTTGTTTTTGGCTGAGATTCAGTGGTGTGTGTGTAATTTATAGCAGCAGAAAAAAGCAATAGGGGGAGGAGGAAAGCCAACATGACCTTGTGAAGAGGAGCACAGCAACCGTGCTATTCACATGAGAGAGAAAAATAAGAACCAATAAACACCACTTCTTAGAGTAATAGATACCAAAGAAAAGAAAGAGGGATCATTGGTAAATAATGGGGCAATCCTACTGTCTCTTACCATTCTTTATTCTGTTCATGACATGAATGTAGCCTCATAAATTACTTTCTAAAGCTGAAAGTGTTTTTCTTTGAAAAGAGATTCATCATCTATGATTCTGATTCCCTGTACTGAAATGAATGGAATCAATTGCATACCCTGTAATAATGCTGCATAAAAATTACCTTTTGAGACCATAACCTTTCCCAAACAGCATAATAATTGAAATGCTATCTTGCTGCATGGTAATTGTGAGAATCTCACTTTCCCTTCTATTCCATGTAAGACCTCAAAATCTCTCAGTGATATGACAAATAAATAAGCTTCATACCTGCAGCTTCATCTTCCCTCCTCTGAGCCAGCTAATATATCTCAATTGTTCAGATCCTCAGGAGTAATATGCTGTGATATTATTTGTTAAATTAAAAAATTCTTAGTGTCTACTTTCCAACAACTTTTACATGAAAAGTTATAAATATCTATACATACACAAATATCTATACATATATAAATATCTATACAACATAATATCTATACATGTATAAATGCATACATGCACAACACTAAAGTCATATATATGCAATACATACATATACACATAAATGCATACACACATAGTAAATGACAGTTTATAGTGTCCATTGTTGTTCTATGCACTTCATACTTCATACAGTAACTCATTTAATCTTCACAATTCATAATAGGCATAACTGAATATTATAATAAGATATCATCATCCTCATTTTGTAGATGAGAAATCTGAGAAACAATGAAGCAAAGTTACTTGGCTAAGGTCACACAGTAAAGGAATTAAGGAAGCAATTTGCCTGCAGTGACATTACTCTTATATTATTGATTATTTTTATATTGCCATATAAATGTTCCATAAATCAACATACTGAATATCTACTTTCTACGTATGGATCCACTATAAAATGATTAAAGTTAACAAAATGTAATGTTACCTTGAATTATTTGGAAATAGGTAGTAAAAAGGAGATAGAAAATGTTAGATGCAATTGATTCCTATGAAAATTTAAAACTTAAAAACTAAAAATTAACCCTTGGCTTCTAAGAATTCTACTTCGTTCTAATATCTCATTTTCAGCACATCTTGGCTGTACTTATCATGGTGAACAGAAGGAAGGAATAATCTGTTACTTACCAAAGTCTTTCTATTTAAATATCAGGCATATCTAAAGAGTCCAGTAGACAGTAAAATACAATTCTTAATTCTCCTCACAGGTCATATTCAATCTTTTAAAATTTCTCTTAGAAGAAGATAGGGGGTGTGAGTGGAAGAGTAAAGAAAAATTACATCATACAAAAAATTGGAATAAGGAAGAGGTGATAAAAGAAAATGACCTTGGAAATCCATCTACAAAGTAAGTCATCTCAAATTGAAGTGATCATCTAAAGATATTTTCTATATTAAGAATATGAGAAGGTGCTAGCAAAATTTTAGTGTATTACCATACAAAAACAGTCAATAGTTTATCTTTAATTAATTAGATCTATCTTTACTGTCTTATGTTTCCATCTTCTAGGACCCAAGGAAAAGTATGGCTAATTGCTTATGAAAACACTCAAATAAACAGGAGCACCCTGATGTGAGCTCATCTCTAGTTCAATAGATACCAGGAACACAGCTCAGGCCAATTGAAAATACAATCTCTGGCAGTCTGGCCCAAGAATGGGATTTTAAGCACCTCTCCAGGTGACTATAATGTGCATTCTGAGTTTGGAACCACTGCTTTAGATGTTATAAATCCATTTGCAGCTAGGATCCAAAGTCAAGAAACTTGGGCTTAATGTGGGGAAAAACAGAAGACTTTGAAGGAAACATTGACAATTTGTCATCTGCGTAACTTCTGTGACACTGTGCAATCTCCACGTGGCTTATCTCCATAATATCATTTCATGCTTTTCTCCTGCCCCTTTACTGTTGTATAGTCACTTTAATTCTCAATTCATCAAACATGGCAAGTGCTATCATGCCTCAAGGATTTCACACATATTAGTCCCAGTTCCTACAATGCACTCTTCCCTACTCCTTGCCTGACTAGTTTGACAATTTATTATTGTGCCAATTTAGATAAGTGGTAATCACATTTCCCAGAATTCTCTTCCCTGCCTCAGTTCCAAATTAGTAGTGAATATAAGAGATATTTGAAATGAGATCTGAAAGGCAGAGAGGAGTAACAGATATATTATTTTCACATGTGGAAAGTTGGTTCAAGGGAACTATGATGCAGGTACCCTTGTGATTCACACAGTTTTGTTCTCATTGGCTAGCTCATCTTGTTAGCAAGGAACAACAGTTGAGCCTATAGCTCCTTCAAGAACTACCACATCCTCCTTTGATTTCTTCAACTCCTGAACTATGTACATGTGGATCTCCATGACAAAGGTCCTAATTTATCCTGAAGTTCATTTGAATCATTGAGGTTGATAGCCTGGAGGGGGTGAGATACTGGTGCAAGTTCTAGTCCGTTCTTGCCTGTTTCAGGCTCTCCTTGTTCTCCACACTTCACACCCATGTACCCTTCCCAAATTCCTGTTCTGCTGACTTCAACCTCCAGCACCAGATGCCAACATGGAAGCCTTATATAGGCTATTTAATCATCCCCCACCATCATGTGAGCTCAAATTCCTATAAGAAATCCCTATATATCACTCCTAGTGATTCTATTTCTTCAAACAAATTCTGACTGATAGATCTAGCTTCTCTTTCTCCTTTAGGGTTTAAATTAAATATCCCTCCTCAGAGGCCTTCCCAGAGAACATTGTCTAGAATATACCCCTCTCTTCACTTCCCTAGTTACATTCTATCTCAGCCTCTTGTTTATTTTTTTCCAAGAAGTTATCATATTTATTTATTTATTAGTGTTTGCTTATTTGTTGTCTATCTCCCTCACTACAATATAGATTCCATAGGGGAAGGAGTCATCACCATCCTCTTTATCACTTCATCTCCAATGTCTGGCACAATTCCTGATACATAGTGAATGTTCCAGAAACATTTTTGTATACATGAAATTAATGAAAAATAAATAGACATACATTTTGGAGAGGTAGCTTTGAGAGCCTTGTGAACAAATAATTCAAGAAGAGACTTGTGACTGGCTAACCAGATAGGGAACTAGTGAAAGTGATAAAGGCCTGAAATAGATCAGTGTAAAAAAATGAGGGGGAAAGATGTTTTTAAATGGACCATAAAAGGCTAGATAGAAGAATTTGGCTGCTCTATGAAGAAGTTTATTGGAAAGAAGGAAGAATCAAGATGACAGATTTCTCACAGGTTACCAGGGGAATGGTGATGCTGCAATAGATTAAAGACAAAGAACAAGTTTTAAGGAGTAAGACAGTGAGTTTGAAGTTTTCAATTCAAATGAAAATTTCTGGATAAAAGTCAGGAACTGTGACACACTTAGATGTATCAAATAGTGATATTATTTGAATCCATGACAATAGTTAAAGTTATCTAGGTAGATTGTGGAAGTGAGTTAAGAAGGGGTCCAAGGAATACTTAAATATTTGTGATGGGAGGATAGGGGGTGACCAAAGATATAAAGCGTAAGAAATTTAAAATTATTTTCTCCCATTCTGTAGGTTGCCGGTTCACTCTGATGGTAGTTTCTTTTGCTGTGCAGAAGCTCTTTAGTTTAATTAGATCCCATTTGTCATTTTTGGCTTTTGTTGCCATTGCTTTTGGTGTTTTAGTCATGAAGTCCTTGCCCATGCGTATGTCCTGGATGGTACTGCCTAGGTTTTCTTCTAGGGTTTTTACTAGCCATCAGAGAAATGCAAATCAAAACCACAATGAGATACCATCTCACACCAGTTAGAATGGCAATCATTAAAAAGTCAGGAAACAACAGGTGCTGAAGATGATGTGGAGAAATAGGAATACTTTTACACTATTGATGGGACTATAAACTAGTTAAACTGTTGTGGAAGACAGTGTGGCAATTCCTCAAGGATCTACACCTAGAAATACCATTTGACCCAGCCATCCCATTACTGGGTATATACCCAAAGGATTATAAATCATGCTACTATAAAGACACATGCACACGTATGTTTATTGTGGTACTATTCACAATAGCAAAAACTTGGAACCAACCCAAATGTCCATCAATAATAGACTGGATTAAGAAAATGTGGCACGTATACACCATGGAATACTATGCAGCCATAAAACAGGATGAGTTCATGGCCTTTGTAGGGACATGGATGAAGCTGGAAACCATCATTCTGAGCAAACTATCACAAGGACAGAAAACCAAACACCGCATGTTCTCACTCATAGGTGGGAATTGAACAATGAGAACACTTACATACAGGATGGGGAACATCACACACCGGGGCCTGTCATGGGGTGGGGGGAGGGATAGCATTAGGAGATATACCTAATGTAAATGATGAGTTAATGGGTGCAGCACACCAACATGGCACATGTGTACATATGTAACAAACCTGCACGTTCTGCACATGTTCCCTAGAACTTAAAGTATATTAAAAAAAGAAATTGAAAATTATTTACCATTTTAAAGTATAAAGGGAAATTGTTTCATATCAGATAACTGCATTGATATTAAGAGCAGAGTCCCACACATCATTCCTCTGAACCAGGAACCTCAGAAACCAGCCAGTCAATGATATGAGCATTTAATATTCTCTATCTTCTTTCCTTTTTTCTTCTCAACTCTTCTACCAAAATGCTCATTGTAATATTACAAACTGAGGTGAGAAACACTGCATTGCCTGCAAAGAGCTTTGCATTTTCTGCCTTATGCAGTACTTCTTAACTGGGGGCAATTTTGCTTTCCAAAATATATTTGGCAATGTTGGCAGGCATTTTTGACTGCTATGGAATCTCCTGGGTAGAGATCAGGATGCTGCTAGACATCCTACAGTGCAGAAGACAACGGTCTCCACTCCACAACAAGACTGTCCATCCCCAAATTATTGAGGCTGAGAATCACTAATCTAGAAAAACGTTTTGCAAATAACTCTTTTGGAACATTATTTGCAAAAGTTCCCTGGAATATTAATAGATATTGTGCATATGATTACAAACACATGTACATAAACAACTATGTGGTCAAATTAATTGTGAAAAAAATTAAACAGGTTTATTTACTCCAGTATTCCTCAAAGTCTTAAATACATTAATGGACATTTTAAATATCTTAAAAATAATGTTCTGCATGTCCTGTTTCCTATACTTAGTTGACTTTGGAGACTGTTTCTGATGAAATACATTGAGGAAATAGTGTTCTCCAAAAAAACCTTTGGTAAACACTATTTTGGAGTCTAGGAATGGAATTTAGAATATAAGGGACATAACAATAGGATTATTGTCTCCTAAACAATGTACTAAGAGATAAGCATAGAGACCTGTCATCTAATTTCAGGTCTGATCTATTAATTAATCCAAGGAGTTAGTTGTAGAATGCTTTAACCAGGGGCCCATTATTATCTGATAAATAAAATCATATAAACTTAAGAATGTATGAAAATTTAAAAATACAATATCTGTGCTATAGTATTTGTAGAAAATCAAACTAAGAAATATATAACATAAAAAATAGAAACCAAACCAACGTATTTAAACAAAGCATAGTATTTTTCAAATAATATAAATTAAATTTACCATTATACTTAAAATAAAAATATTTCAGATTAAATTTAAAATAGCATTCAAGCTATATAGAAACAAATGCTGTAAATCATGTGTCCTCCATTTACTTGGCATCTCTATAAAAATACGGCAAATTTAATCACTGGCTAAAATCACCAACTAGATTTTATTGCATTTTGGATTTATTCTGACATCAGTGAAAAAAACAGAAATGTCATCATCCCTGGTTATTGTGGGATATTAGTAACAGGAAGCCCCTGGATAACAAAATCCCTGATGCTCAAGTCTCTGGTATAAAGTGGCATAGTATTTGCATATAACCTATGCACATCCTTCTGTATATTTTAAATAATCTCCAGAATACTTATAATACCTAATACAATGTAAATGCTCTGAAAATAGTTGTTACACTGTACTGTTTAAGGAATGACAAGAAACAGTCTGTACAAGTCCAGAACATCTTTTTTCTCCAATATTTTCATTCTGCATTTGGTTGAATCTGTGGATGCACAACCCATGGATGCAGTAAGCCATATATATATATATATATATATATATATTAGCTGCAGCATCATATTATCATCACTACTTTTTAAAAGCGGAGCATTTTATTTGTCAAATGATGCTATCTCTCAGGCCTTATTCTTACTTGGAAAAATGGTGGTGGGCCATTAACTGGCAAGTATTATCAGTAGACATGGAGATTTTAAAAATTTGTAGCAAGTTTAGAATATTTTGAAGATTTTATATTATAAACTTTTAAAAAGAAAAAATATCTGGAAATAATTCAAAGAGTACAACAGTTAGTGATGATAATGCAAAATTGTCTGGAAAATAGGATATATAAAGAAGACTAAAAATGATGGCTGGCTTCTGAAAGAGAATTCTGAGGAATGAGTTACTGAAAATCCTGTTTGAACCAAAACCAGAACATATAAAAATATACTTAAATTGTACCAAGAGATAAGGTTAAACATAAAGATGAACTGTGTTTTCTGAAGTTGGCACTTTTATAGCATCTTGAGGGCAAGTGTCTCAACTCCTCTTATATGTTGAATTATATTTAATGCTACTTGGATAAAAATAAAATGTATTATTTATTTTTATCTATAACACACTTCTATGATTTTAATAAATGTTTCTCTAAATGTATGTTGTAAAAAGTGGTTAAATAAAAACCACATGCAGCAATGGCAGAGTGAAATATATCAAAAGATTTTTCAAGGATGGACGTGGGTGTTTGTGTGCATAAGGATAGGGTACTATACATGGAGGAAATACTATAGTTCAGTGCCAGTACCTCAGTATTTTAAGCTCTGAAACCTTTTTATATACAGTTTTATATAAACCTTATATGTAGGAGTAGTGGTTATCTTTTAGGCAGGCTAAAATTAGCCAAAGTGAGAAGACTGATGCATAAAATCCTACTGCTAATATATTAATTGACAACAGAGCATGTACTTGCACAGATGTAGAAATGTTCATGTTGGCTTAATTACACATTATTTCTCAATCATTAATAACAGGTGAAGAGCAAAACTATATTATTTGTTTGGTGAGTATAAAATTATAAGAAGTGAATTCATGCGTTAAGCAGATAGGCCAGTTTATACTGTAGTAGCACATTAAACCCTAAAATTTCAGTGGCTTAACATAATAAAGGTTAATTTCTATCTTGGAAAGGTGGAGAGTCATATGAAAGCTCTTAAAAATTCAGTCTGAGAGTGACACAGAACTCTTTTGCTCAATACTGGTCATATGGAATTGCCTAATGAAAGGAAGTCTAAGAGATGTGAAAATGCATTCAAATATTTGGTGAATTGTAGAGGGCTCTGCTCTGGTTAGATCAGTTGATTATTTAATGGCATAGGTTAAGATAGGCTTCTGCAACAATCCCTCAGGTTGTGAGGAATTTGTCCATGATCTGAACAGCTTAAAGAAGGGGCATACTTCTCCCTCTTTTAAAGAGCTGTAAAATGGACTTTGTTTACATTTTACTTTGAAGTTTCACTGTTCATATGATATGATATCTGACAACCCCATTTTTAGTTTGGTGCAGTCCATTTAATATGTTTCTATTTAAAAATATAATGTCAGCTGACTTAGTAGCCACTCTATCTTTAGTGTTTCCTATTTTAATTATACTTTCAACCAATCAATTACTATTTTTTAAAGAAAAAATACAGAGTTGAGGATATAATACTTAGACATTGCATTGTATTTAACAACCAAATCATTTTAACTTGACTAATTAAATGTTTAATAAATAACCATTAAATCTTGAAGAAAATTGGTAAATTGAATTTATTCTTTCAGGGGTTTTAAGACACAGTTTACAAGTCCAGCATTTTCTAAATAATATGATTTATATTTTGTTAAAGACACACAAAATTTTACAAAATGTTTTCTGTGATAGAAAATAATTATAATTAACCCAAATAATATGAATTAACCCACTTGAGTTAATTCTTATCCATAGAACTAAGAATGGTAGGGTGCTTGGAAAAAAATGAGTTATGCCTATATGAGCTGTTTAAGGTATATGTAAAACAGGAAGTTTGACAAATGCATATATAACATGATTTATTTTTATTTAGGGGATAACATAAACTAATGCATACCATGGTAAAAGAAGCATAGGGAAAAAACTGCTAAAATAGTCATCAACTCTGTTTGTAGCAGTGGATACAATTTAAAATATTCTGTAATATTTACTCTTTGTACATTAGAAAAATACATTACTTTCTTAATCAGAAAAATCATTAAACAATATTTAAAGAGAAAACATATATTTGACTAATGAGAAATTACATAAAATGATATTAAACTTATTTTTGAGGGGTAAACTTTGATTAGTCTTATGATTCAAAGTCAAAAAACTCCATGAAAATTGACCAAATAAAAACTTCTTTGGGTAATGGTCCCAGCTACTTGGGAAGCTGAGGTGGAAGTATCACTTGAGCCCAGGAGTCCAGAGTTGCAGTGAGCTATGATTTTGTCACTGCACTCTGGCCTGAGCAAGAGTGCAATATGCTATCTCAAAGAACAAAAATAAAACCAAGCAAAAATTATCTGTCCCAAGATTTCCCTTTGTATTCTACATATTAGTTATCTGTTACTGTATAAGAAATTACCCCCAAATCTGGCATCTTGAATAACAGTTATTAGCTCATAGTTTCTGTGGGTCAGGAATATAGGAGTCACCTAGCTGGATGGTTGGGGTCAGGAATATAGGAGTCACCTAGCTGGGTGGTTGGGGTCAGGAATATAGGAGTCACCTAGCTGGGTGGTTGGGGACAACATCTCTCATGAATTTATAGACAAACCATGAACTGGGACTGCAGTCTTATCTGAAAATCCAAATGGGAGTAGATGTGCTTCCAAGCTCACTCACGTGATCATTGGCAGGATTACGTTTCTCAGTGGCTGTTGGCAGAAGACTTAAGTTTCTTGTCACATGAGCCTCTCTGCAGGCTTCCATAGCGTACATTTGTAATGGCAGCTGGCTTTCACTAGAGCAAGTCATCCTAGAGAGAGGATATACATAGACAGAAGCTGGAGTATTTTTATAACTTAATCTTAGAAGTGATATACCATTGTTTTTTATTGCATTCTATTGGTAACAATTTACTATAAATTGTATTCAAATATTGTTACAGAATGTATTAAACTAGTATTGTCAGGGATGGCATATACAAGTGTGAATAACAGAAAACAAAGATCATCCAATGCCATTCTAGAGACAGGCTAGCATATT
Source organism: Homo sapiens (assembly GCF_000001405.40). Taxonomy (NCBI): domain Eukaryota; kingdom Metazoa; phylum Chordata; class Mammalia; order Primates; family Hominidae; genus Homo; species Homo sapiens. The sequence goes on from NC_000003.12 coordinate 165,710,650, forward strand.
GCTCTTATCCAGCTTTCTTTTATACCCATAATAATTATCATTTTCTCATAAGTCAAATATACATTGGTTTGTTTACTGCCTTCCTTTTACTACAATATGGGTAAACATCAGGGTAGAAACCTTGTCTGTTTTGTTTGTCACTAATGTTTGAAGCAACACATGGCTTACGGTAAATGCTCAAGAAATATCTATTGAATGACTGGAAGCCTGAAGGATAGGTATATCTTTATAGTACATATCTGGGGAGTCGGTAGGTAGCAGAAATTTAAAATTTTTATTTAGTTGAGTTCACATTTTGATAATTTTACCCAACTATTTCATCCAAAAGCTTAATTTTTTTCCAAAAAAATTATATCTGTGGCATGAGTAAGTCATTTCAGAAGGCTTTGTTCTTTTGAAGGGAAGGCAAAAAAAGAGATGGAGATATCTATGTAATTCCTCAATCTGGGTCTGCAAATAAAAAAAAAATAAGACATACCATATGTCATATTGGAAAGACATCAATGCATACACACACATACACACTTATAATTTTGTTATATATAAACGTATTTCTTAAAAATCTATGGTATATTTGTTAGCTCCAGTTCAGAAGCTATTTTTTGAGAAGGCAGAAGAAAATCATCTTCATGTTTATTGGACCATGCATTTTCAGCCAAAGAGCAATTATACTTCTTAATATCACTAAGCACATTATAATGCTGAAAAGAAATATTGGTGGAAATTGTAATTTAAATTGCAGCAAAAGCTATGAAAAGTCAGCATTATTAAAAACTGCTGAAAATTCAAAATCTAAATAGGTGACTAAACAACTAGCTGAAGAAAAAAATAGAATCATGGGCTAGATCAAGAAGACACTGAATGTTAATAATTTTATTTTTCAAAGAATAGTCTCTGAAGTTATTCCAAGCATTTCTGAATAATTAAATATAAATTGGCATCTATTGAGAAGAATCTTGTATCCAGAACTGATAAAGAGTGGATATTCTCCTGATGGATAGACTGGCCTGTATCTATTATTTTAGTTCAATGTCTATGTTGTTTTGCTTTTTAAAATGTTTTAAATGTCATATCTGATATTATCTATTAGTTTATGTTTAATTGGGGAGAAGTTAATTTGAGCATGTTTTGCTTTTCTCTCATGCATTTGAACTTTTTCTTGCATATTTGGTCCACTTTTATTGTCAAGGACTCAAGCACTATCACTATTTATTTTTCTTAAATTTTAGTTCTTCAGTTTCTTAGTTAAGGCCCTTCTTACTTCCAAATAACACATGGCCTCATCTGAGATGACCTGTTAAGAGTCAACTCTCAGTAAATATTTACTACAAGCTTGAATAACCCAACCTCCCTGCCCCCACTGCCTCATTTTAATTTATTCCTACCTCCTGTGTCTCTGGACAGTGGTAGGATGACTTTCCTCATCCTGATTCTACTTTTACTCAACAATGTGTTATAAATGAAGGCATAGCACTCAGTCTTCCTTGTATTCAACCTTTTTTCTTAATCAAATTTACTGATTAAAATCAAATTATTTCCCTTAGTAAAACACTTTTGAATGGTTCCCATTTGTAATTTGAAAGATATACAGAGGTTATACCTTTGAAGTCAAAGATATTATGAAAATTTCCTGCCCACCTTTTTCATGTACCTATGACACAGGATCCTTAGGATGTTGCCTTGCCAGCCAAAACCTCTGTGGTGTTGGTGCCTTCTGCCTGAGTACTGCTTGGACCACTGGGCTGGATCCTACCACTCAGCCCAGCAGGCTGCACTCAGTTCACACTATCGGCCTGGATTTCATGCCTGCCAAGGACAAGCCTGGCACAGAGCAAGCACGGGGGTCCCGCCACTGTGTACAGTCAGGAGTGCCAGCTGCAGCAGGGTGGGCAGCTCCCAGAGCCGGAACAGGTGCTGGTTCCATCAGACGCTACAGCTGGACCAGGCATACCATAAGCAGCTTCTACTGTGGGCACCAGAGAATGCGGCGGTGCCTCAAAACTTAGCGATATCAGGAACTGCAGAGCCCCAAGGATGGTGTTGCAGCCCTGGCTCAAGGAACCCTAAGTCTGGACTCCCCAGAGGGCTGCAACTAGCTTCTTCCTTCTTGTACCTGCAATGTGGTGAGCAGGAGGTGTGTTTCAGCCCTGTTTGTGTTACAGCTCTTTCTCTTTCAGCCCTGCTCTTTGGCAGGTCCCAAGTTCTTTTCCTGCATCCAGGAAGAATGAGGTACATGGACAACTGGAGGGTGAGCAAAGCAAAGAGGAGCTTCATTGAGCAACAGAATAGCACTCAGGAGATGTGAAGTGGGTAGCTCCTTTCCACAAGCAGGTCATCCCGACGAGTGTTCAACTATCAGTGGAGAGGAGAACCACACTGGGCAGCTCCTTCCTAAAGCTGGTAGTCTTGACATCTCTGTGAGTCTGGTTGAATCCAGGGTTTTTATGGGCTTCAGAAGGAAGGAAGTGCATGCTGATTGGTCCATCGACAGCCATGGGTGGGCCCATATAAGTCACCATAAATTATCACTCCAGGCTGCTGACTCCACAGGGAACTGACAGCCCAGGCCCTATTCTTTACCTGGCTTGAAGGTTAGGCTTAACAGGAGATCCACTCTTTTTCACAAAGGAACCTGTCTGCCTCCAGCTGCCATCAATCATGTTGTCCATGCTGTTGAGGAGGTGCCTACAGGCCTGTGCTGAGTCAGCCTCAGCTCCTACTCAGCCTCTCTCCTGTGCTCCACACCGAAAGTCCGGATGGGGCTGAGGCAGCAGGGGGCTGGTGTGCCAGCACTGCCTCAAGTGCATGCACACCTGTCCGGGTTGTGACATCATCCAGGAGGGGCCTCAACTTTGGTCTGAAATTGGATCGGGCACCGAAAGTGAGGAGAGGCCAGGCAGTGGGAGTAGGAACTTCTGAGCCTGCGGGGGCAGCTGGATTCCCAGGCCTCTGAGAGTGCAGGGATGCATGGATCCACAGCCACAGCTGGGTGGCTGCAGCCACACCTGGGTGGGGGTCTGGGGTCTCCAGCCCTGCCAGCTCAGAAGGGGACAGGGCCCCCTCCTGTTCCCAGCTCTTGCCGGCTCCATGGAGTGTGCAACCCCAGCAATTGCTTCCCCAATGCAGATGGTGTCTTCGCAGCAGCCACTGCAGGTGGGCTGCGCTGCCATCAATCCTCCCTCTGAAGAGGTACAGGAAACTGCCATTAGGATAGGGATGATGACCACGCTTAACGGCTTCATGCTGCTAGGAGGCACTGTTTTGGGGAAAACGCAGTCAGATCTTTCTCAGAGGCCTATCCAAGGGTCCTTGGTAAAAGGGAGCCATCATCTGAGGCTCCAGTTGCATGACCACTTGGTGTCTGATGGCCTCTAGGCAAGAAGAAACAAATTTTACAAGGAGGTTAATTATGCGAAGGAAAAAATCTAGTGCCAAAGATAACAGAAATAAGAAGTAAAATAGACTAATCATTCAGAAAACAATATTGTGGCTAGAGCTGTTTCACCCTGGTAAAAGAAATTAAATCTTGTATGGGGGCAGTTAAAGTTTAAAAGAGAAATAACTGTTTAGGGGGGTAGATAATCCCTTGAGTTTACTTTCCCGAAAAAGAAACCTTTGGGTTATCGGCACCCCATTTACCCCCCATCTCTTGGCAGGATTTACAGGATAATTGCCCAGAATTAGAATGTTCATCCAGATTTTTACTTTACCTATCCCTTTTTTTTGGTCTGAGCTGCAGTCAGAGATAGTTGGCTAGTTCACAGGAATAAGCAGGGTTAATCTAAAATGCAGAGAAAAACTTCAAAACAACCAATGAGAACCTATCCAAGTCCTATAACTGATTATAAACTATCCTTTGAAGAGAATAAATACAAGACAACAATTGCCTGTGGATGACAAAATGTCTTAGGTTAGTTCACAGTCAAAAACACAATTGACAAGGAAATTTGGTTATTTCTGTGGCTTACGGTAACTTAACATAATAATGCTATTTATGATTGCTAGCATATACTCAGACATTTGAATTTTAGAAATCCCATACAATTTTGGAACATACATTATCGTTTACTAAAATATAACTTAAACAAGATTAAACCTTATTTTTATTTGGAAAATCCCATGTAACTAAACATGTCAAATAATCCTATTTACCTCTTGTTTGAATGCTCCAGGGGCCCTCTGTAGCATCCCAAAATTAGGGGTCAGAAAAGATAATTATGAAGCTGAAATTTGATTTGGGGAAGCCTATCAAATACATTAAAGGTTTAAAACACTTGATATTATAAAAAGAATTCCAGATTACCATAAGTAATTTATTTAGCCAAAATGATGATTCAACATTTTTTTTTTTTTTTTTTTTTTTTGAGACGGAGTCTTGCTCTGTGGCCCAGGCTGGAATGCAGTTGCGCGATCCGTCTCACTGCAAGCTCCGCCTCCCAGGTTCACGCCATTCTCGTGCTTCAGCTTCCCAAGTAGCTGGGACTACAGGCACCTGCCACTACGCCCGGTTAATTTTTTGTATTTTTTAGTAGAGACAGGGTTTCACCGTGTTAGCCAGGATGGTCTTGATCTTCTGACCTTGTGATCCGCCCACCTAGGCCTCCCAAAGCTGGGATTACAGGCGTGAGCCACCGTGCCCAGCCGCTTCAACATTTTTTTGGAAAAGCAAAAACCTTTACTCATTACTAGGGCAGACTCAGCTTTCCAAACGATCTGTCTCTTGTCTTTTCCTTCTTTTTTCAGTAGTTTATTCACAAAACAAACTAAAATTTTTCAATATCCTTAACATTACATGAAAATCTTGTTCAAGAGAGATAGACAAATTTCACCCTTTATTTGTCTTTTAATGTCAATCCCAATTTTTTAATGAAAACTTATAGAAAAATCTATCCAATTTTAATCAGTTTGACCATGAGGTGAGATTCTTACAAACCTTTTATAACTCTTAACTAATTTTTGTTAAAGAGTATATCAGTGCCTTAAGAAACACTTGTGCTTTTATTCCAATGCTCAATTTATGGAAAAATCGAATAATACCCTTTTGAATTTAGTCAGTATGTTCACACACAGATTTTATTTTACAATATTAAGTTTTACAAACCTTCCCAACTCATTTAAACCTTTAGCTTTATCTTAATTAAAAATAATTATTTAACCCTCTACAGTAAGAAAAAATTTACATGTCTTCCTATAATCTTTTATTAAAAACACATTTTACTTACCTTAAACACCTTGCATGTAAATCTATTTTCAGTAGTCTCAATACATGTTAAATGGTAACTCTTAGCAATTTTTTAAATTTTGGTGTAAAACATGATAAGTTATTTTAATTATGTACTAGGTGCAGATAAGGCCTAACTCTTTCCAACATAGTCGGGGTGTGGTTAACTTCATATGTCCCCAGGCCTTACCAAGCTGAAAAGAAGGCAAGTCAAACAATTTTCAAAAGCCGAAGAAGCATTTCATGACCTTAAAGCCTTTAGCAACCCTAGTATCTGACCTGCATAATGTAGACCATATGTCTACTTTTTTTTTTTTTTTTTTTTTGAGGCAGAGTCTCACTCTGTTGCCCAGGCTGGAGTGCAGTGGCATGATCTTGGCTCACTGCAAGCTCCACCTCCCAGGTTCACACCATTCTCCTGCTTCAGCCTCCTAAGTAGCTGGGACTACAGGCACCCACAACCACGCCCGGCTACTTTTTTTTTTTTTTTTTTTTTTTTTTTTGCATATTAGTAGAGACGGGGTTTCACCGTGTTAGCCAGGATGGTCTCAGTCTCCTGACCTCGTGATCTGCCCGCCTCGGCCTCCCAAAGTGCTGGCATTACAGGAGTGAGCCACTGCAACTAGCCCATATGTCTACACTTTGAAGACATTTTTATTTTACCAATAATCTTTAAAGCTGTTTTTATTTCTCAAAGATTAAAGTCATGTGAACAAAAAGGCATTACAGCTTTATTTTTCTTTAAAAATATTTTATGCAAATGCTTATTTTTTCCTTAAACCAGTCAATTAAAGCTCTTTTTTTTTATATAAGCACCACACATAGAACACATACATAACTACAGAGAAAGAAGATCCAGTAGTTGTTAGATTTTCATTTGCCCATCTAATTTTATTTACTGGCCTCAGGGTGGAGCCCTTTAAGAAACAGGGCTATGAAACCATGCAGTATCTAGGGCCTAATAAGCAGGCATAGTTGGAAGACAAAAACAGATTTTGAGATCTATCTGCCTCTAATTCCTGGGGTTCCATGAGAAAAACAGGTTTTTGTTTGTTTGTTTGTTTTTGTTTTTGTTTTTCTTTTTTTACAAAAATGGGGTCAGTGGCATCTCTTCTGTTCTTCCCAAGGAGTTCCAAACCATCAAAAGTTGTCTTAGGGCCTCTTATGTGTGCATTAGGAGTGGCAAGATGAAATGGAGAAAAATAATTAAGTTGGCTAAAAAGGAAAAAAAAATCCTTTTTCCAGAAAAACTAGATCCATTGAGAGAAAAGACATAAAGGTCTTTTATATATGCCTGATATGCCTGTAGCTTGGATATCCACTTTTAGTTAAGCTGACTTTTAACCATATAAATCCTTTTTATTTATTTATTTGAGATGGAGTCCTTTTCTGTTGCCCAGGCTGTAGTGCAGTGGCATGATCTCAGCTCATTACAACCTCCGCCTTCCAAGTTTAAGCAGTTCTCTGCCTCAGCCTCCTGAGTAGCTAAGATTACAAGCACCCACCACCATGCTCAACTAATTTTTGTATTTTTAGTAAAGATGGGGTTTCACCATCTTGGCCAGGCTGCTCTTGAACTGACGTCGTGATCCACCCACCTTGTCCTCCCAAAGTGCTGGAATTATAGGCGTGAGCCACCGCACCCGGCCAGAAATCCTTTTTTAAAAAGTCCTCTTAAATGTCTTATTAACCAGCCTTAGCCATGCCAAATGGCCAATATGGCTGGCTTTTGAGCCTTAACAAAATTAACCTCACAGGTAAAACTGATAAGCCTTACTGTAAAAGTTGTCCCTCTTCAAGAGATTGCTCAGTTAGATTTGTAATATCTTCTCAGTTTGGGGAATGCATCTGAGGGGAGTGTCCTGTGGTGTAGAGATGCAATTACCCATCCTCAAAGAGAAGACAGAAGAGGAAAAAAGGAAGAAAAAACCTTTTTTTTTTTCTTTTTCCAGAGTCTGAGGGTCAAAGGAGTTCCAGAGATTCGGGATGCACTTGAGAAGAGTGCAGGCTAAAGATGATTGGTTCCCCTTCTGGAAGAGAGGACAGAGGGGGAAAAGGCATTCTTTCCTCTCTCCAGAGTCTGAGGGTCAAGGGGGTCCCAGGGATTCAGGAAGCACTCGAAAAGAGTGCAGGCTGAAATGGTTGATTACCCATCTGGAAAGAGGGGGGAAATGGTTTCCATTTGTTCCTTTCTCTTTCAAGCCAATACACAGGGTACATGAGGGAGAGAAAAAAAAGACATCACCTTCTTTATTTTGACATTATATCCCTAAGTCCCGGCAACCTTTGCACATGCCACTTTCACCCATGTAGCAGGGAGGCCTAGTGGATAAGAATATTTGCACTTACCTTTATGCTGCCCTATTCTCCCATTGTCAGTCACCTTTGAGTTCCCTAGACCTTATCTATGCCATGGATGCAACATGACCTCCATCCAGAAGTGGAAGGCCCTAATGGTAGGAATTAGTCATGCTCACCTGCACTGTGCCTCCTGACTTGCACTTTCATCTGCCTCTGGATACCTCAGGTTTAGCTTTCCCTTTGTACGGACTCATTAAATTAAGTCCCAGGTAGCCCTTACCAAATTGCAGCCAGTAATTGGTGGGGCAGCCGAGGCCACTCTTTCATTTCTTCCCTATCATAAGCAGAATGCTAAAGTAAAACTGTGAAACGAGGTCCCCTTCAAACCAAGGAAAGAAAGGGAGTCCTGGGAATTTAGGACTGGGCCTAATAAGATGTCTCTCAAAAGGAAAAAAAAAAAAATCTCTTGCGTAGAAAAGCTCCCCCAATGCACTATGTTGACTGCTTACATGGTGGAGGAAAAAGAAAAAAAAAATAAAAAAGAAAAAACTGAAGTGCAGGGAAGGGGAAGGTGCCCAGGGGAAAGCCTCTTTCCCTATGGAAATGGCTTCCTTCAACAGGGGAAAGAAAAGTCTCAGTTGTTACATTCTCCTTGCTTCTAACAATAGACAGATACCACATTACATTCTTCTGATTTACATTCCTGATCACTAAGCCAAGCGCTTATTATTTTTTCTTTTTTCTTTCTGTCTTTTTTGTTTTCTTTTTTTTTTTTTTTTTTTTGAGATGGAGTCTCACTCTATTGCCCAGGCTGGAGTGCAGTTGTGCTATCTTGGCTCACTGCAACCTCCACCTCCCAGGTTCAAGCGATTCTTGTGCATCAGCCTCCCAAATAGCTGGGACTGCAGGTGCCTGCCACCATTCCCTGCTCATTTTTTGTATTTTTAGTAGACATGGGGTTTCACCATGTTGGCCAGACTGGTCTCGAACTCCTAACCTCAGGTGATCTGCCCACCTCGGCCTCCCAAAGTTCTGAGATTACAGGTGTGAGCCACCATGGCGGGCTTCCAAGTGCTTATTCTAGCCAGTAATATTTTCTCTGAGGTACCCTTAACATTGTATATAAAAAAGAGAATAGTAGCCATTATAGTCAGAGAAGAAAGAAAGGAAAGGAAAGGAAAGAAAGAAAGGCAGGCAGGAAGGAAGGAAGGAAGGGAGAGAAAGAAAGAGAGAGAGAAAGAAAGAGAGAATGAGACAAAAAGTGTGATAGGAAAGACTGAGGGCCCTAGTGCTGACACCCTAATGGGCAGTTGGGGATGGGAGTTAGTCCAGGGGCCTTTGGATAACACTAAGGTGTAGCCTCAGTCAGATATCTGCAGTTGCCCCAGGACCTCCTTCCAGTCTCAAGTGACAGCTAAATTTTTGTGAAGGGAAACCGGATTGGCAAAAGGCCAACATTCCCAAGACCCAAGAGTGACAAGTGATTGACAGTGTACCCCCAGCAAGCCTGTCCTCTGTGTCTTAAGTCCAGCAACCACACTTGTTGCTTTTAGTTGGCTGAACAGAGGCCCATGTTTTTCTTTCATTCTGGCTAGTGTGTAGTTTATTGACTCCAAAAAAAAAAAAAAAGGATGGAAAGCAGCAAGTCCTCTTTTACTCACTCTCCTGAAGATCCCAGAAAAGCACCTCCAAAAATGTCAGGGGATCCTTGGGGTGTCACTTTGCCAACAAGAAACCTTGGTAGCCAGTGGTGCCTTCTGCTTGAGTGTTGCTCAGGCCCTCTGGGCTTGTTCCACCCACTTGGCCCAGTAGGCTGCACTCAGTTTACGCTACCGGACCGGATCCCTTGCCTGCCAAGGGTGAGCCAGGAGTGAAGCAGTTAGGGATGTGTGAGCAAGGGTGGGGTCTGGTCACTGCACACAGCCAGGCATGCTGGCTGTAGCAGGGCAGGCAGCTCCAGGCCCCTGCTCCATGCAAGGCTGTGGCTGGACCACGAGTACCACAATTGGCTTCCACTTCTAGCACCGGGAAACACAGTGGTACCCAGAAGCTTGGAAATGCCAGGAACCACAGAGCCTCAAAGAGGGTGTTGCAGCCCTGGCTAGGGAAGACCCTAGGTCTAGGATCCCCAAAAGCTGCAGTTCTTCTCTCCTTCTTGACACCTGTAACATGGTGAGGTGGGGCATGTTTCAGCCCCGTTTGTGTTACAACTCTTTCAGTCCTGCTATTCAGCAAGTCCCAAATTCTTGTCCCGTGTCCAGGAAGAATGAGGTCTGTGAACAACTGGAGGGGAAGCAAGGCAGTAGAGGAGCTTCATTGAGCAACAGAACAGCTCTTAGGATACCTGAAGTAGCTGACTCCTTTCCATAGGCAGGTCGTCCAGATAAGTGTCCAGTTCTCAGCAGAGAGGAGACTTGTAGTGAGTAGCTCCTTTCCTTAGGCAGGTCATCCTAACGAGTGTCCAGTTCTCAGCAGAGAGAAGACCTGCTGCAGTTGATAGCTCCTTCCCACAGCTGGTAGTCCTAACGTCTCTGTGAGTGTAGCTGATTCCAGGGTTTTTATGGGCTTCAGAAGGGAGGAAGTGCATGCTGATTAGTCCATGGGTGGCCATGGGCAAGCCTGGAAAAAGCACCGTAAGTTCTCACTCTGAGCCATGGACTCCACCTGGAACTGACAGCCTGGACCCCAGATTTCAAGCCATCCCTGGCTTGAAGGTCTGGCTTTACCGGGGACCTGCCCCTTTTCTTGTCTGCCTCCTGTCATCATTAATCATGTTGTCCAGGCACCCAGGCTGTTTGTGCTGAGGGGTGCATTCAGGCCTACACTGAGCTTCCCTCAGGGCCCCCTTGGCCTTCCTCCCATGTTCATTGGTGATCAAAGTCCAGAGGGGGCTGAGGTGGGAGGGGGCTGGCATTTCAGCACTGCCCCAAGTGCAAGCACACCTTGCCAGGTTGCAACAGCACCCACGCTTGGCCTCAACTTGGCTCCAAAATCAGAGTAGGCACTGGGGGTGGGGAGAGGCCAGGCGTGGGGAGCAGGCACTTCCAAGCCCGTGAGTGAAGGGGGCTTCACAGTCTTCAAGAGCCCAAGGATGTCCAGGTCCACCAGGGCAACTGGGCAGCTGCAGCTGCACCCGGGAGGGAAGGGCTCCTGCCCCACCAACTAGGAAGGGAGCAGAGATTCCACCTGTTTCTGACTCCTGCCAGATCCATGGAGCATGCTGCCAGCTGTGCCTCCCCTGCTGCAGCCGGCATCTTTGCAGCAGTTGATCCAGGTGGGCTGCTGCTGCCAGTCAATTACACTTTTGGATAAATCCTCAATGTAGGCTCCTCCCAGTAAATTATATTCACCATGTAAGACTTCCGTGATTTTACTTACCATTAACTTCACTTTCATGCATTAATTGATTCATTTGGTCAACAAAATATTATTGACATCTAACAAATGAAGCTGTGCTGTATGCTGCATATACAGATATTGCTGATAAAGAGTTAAGTGAAGGAAGTACTTACAGGTTACTAAGGACTGAAGGTGGTGTTTTTCAAAAAAAATCTCAAACCAAAAGCAAAATTATTAAAGAAGTAATATGCTATAATCCCAGAAGATGGATGTAGAAAGAAGAAATCTGAGTGGAATAAAGGACCTTCTACCACCAATATCAGTCAATCCAATAATCAGCAAATATTCTTTTAAGAACTTTCTGTTTTCAAGACTCAATATATAAAACTATCTCTGTTTTTGTGGAACTTACAGCTCTTTAACGGTTGAGGCAGACATGAATAAAATAATCACAAACATAACATTACAGCAGAGTAAGATCTGTGAAAATAAGTCTCACAGTGCCATGAGATAAGGGAAAGACATACTAGGATCAGGGAAGATTTCCTGAAGAAATTAAACTTTGATACAAAGAAATAGAAAATAAACAGATAAATGAAGAGAAAATGAATCTAAGACAGAGGAAGGAACATTTAAAAGGTCCAGTGGTAAAGGCTGAAGTTAACTTGTGTGACTGAAAGAAGACCAGTGTGGTAGAACACATAAACTAATAGTAATATAGAATAATGCCGGATTTTATTAAATTCTTTTATTAAAAACTTAAGCATTTTAAGTAAGGATCTTGGGCTAATTAGAATCTTTTTTAACCAATTGCCATGGTAGAAATGGACAAGAGTTGATAAAGAGGGACAAGTTAGTAGATGTGCCCTGCCGTTGCCCCCATAGATGATTGACATTGCTTGCTCTAGGGAGGAGAATGTGGAATTAAAGAGGGTGGATCCTAGAGATCTGTAAAAGGTAGTATCACAAGAATTTGCTGATGGATATGGAAGATGAGAGAATATGATGTGTTAAAAATGATATATAGTATTCTATTTTGAGAAAGTGGATATAAGCTAATGTTATTTAGAGCTAAGTACCAATTAAAAAGAATCAGGATTGCTTGAAGCGTGTAGGAGTTTCATTTTGGATATGTATGGTAAAAGTGATATTCCTTGAATTATGAAACATTTCTTACTCCTGGGGTGAAAGTGGTAGTAGTACTCAAGTAAGAGACAACAGGAAATTGGTAGTAGCTTGGAATAGATGATAAATGCCTATTTCTTAACAAGGAGGGGTTTTACCGGAGATAAGTTGAAGGATGGTGGCAAGCATTTCACAAAGTAATATTTGGGAATGTTGGATTTATGTAGCAAGAAGCATAGTGGTATAGAGTTTTCTATTTTCTGGTGCAATAGCATGAATTTGGAAGTGTAAAAGAAATATGAACGGTTGAGACCGCTAAAAAAATCAGGATTTTTTTATCTGAATGTGGAATACTTGGTCTGTGTTTCAACTGTGAAAGATAGTAGGGCAATGTTAAGGTCTAAGATTTGGCTATGAATGTAAATAGGCTGCATCTATTATTTTACACTGGTTCTGTCTTTATCTAGCTTTATGACTTTACACAAGTGACAAATTCTTAGCACTATATTTTCTGCTTGTAAAATGGCGATAACAACAATAGCTGTCTTAACAAACGTGTGAATTTTAAATTAATTGTTATGTAAAGTGGGTAGCAAACTGCCAGGAACAGTGATTTCTCCATAATGCTGTTTTTATTATGTACAATACAATTATTATATATAAAACTTTTTATCCCTAGCACTTAGCAGAATAAACTACTAAAATCATTTATAATAGATATTTATTTTGTAGATCTTTTTGGGGAGATTAGAAAATTTTAATACTGTACTATTACCAGCCATTTCTCAATTGGACTAGAGTTCTAATAATTATAAACTTAAAAATGATCATCTACTTGTCAGAATCATTTATTTAGGATATTTATATATGTACACACTATAGTCTCCTCACACTGCAATTTATTCTCATTTTTATTGTAATTCTTATTAAAAGTTAAAATGAAAAAATAATTCCTTTAGTAGTTTATTTAGGTTATCATTTTAAGACACTGCTTGCAGTCACCTGTGGGATATACACTGACATTTACACTCAGATTAGTATCCCACCTAAAACAATGCATTTATAGTTTCTAATACAGCAAATCTGGTGAAGGCTCACTTGACATTTTTAGTACTAAACACTTCTCTTGTGAGAGCACAAGTAAGCTGACACTGAGTAGCCTCTCAACATACGAACAGGGTGTTCTATAATTCAAATAGAAAGAATACATATCATGGTACATAACTTACCAAATCTAAATTATCTGCCACATATATTGTCTCATTTAATCATCACAAGAAACCTGTATGCTTGGCATTAAGTCAAAGAAACAAATAGATATAAGGCATTTCTCGAGTATCATGTGGCTCCATATTAGTGGGCACGGCATTCGTATCTAGCTGTCTAATCTGGTTTCAACATTTGACGTAATGGTCTCTAGATTTGACTTTATTTTTAAGAATTTGAACTGTCTTTGGTGGAGATGAGGTGTAATGCATTCAAGAGAAAATTTGTTTCAATTTATGAAAAAATCTCCAAGTAGCATTCAAATAACATCATATGTTCTTCAAGAAAATGAATGTTCTGTGTTGGAAACACAAAGAATACATATCCTTAGACTTCAGAGTTAGTGCAGTAGAAATTAGAGAAGTTGAAAATGATATTTTTAGAAGTGCACTTGTGACAGATCAGGATTCCTCAAGACTAGAAAGTGGATGTCATAACACACTTATTGGAAAGACATTAAGTGATGACAAGTATGAGAACAGAAAATTGGTTAAGTTAACATAAATTAAGGAGGAAATTATATTAAAAACCCCAAGTACAGAGGATAAATGCTTACACAGACATGTCCCATGCAAAATGAAAAAAATAATTCCTTTAGTAGTTTACTTTGTTTACCATTTTAAGACACTACTTGCAGTCACCTGTGGGATATACACTGACATTTACACTCAGATTAGTATCCCACCTAAAACTATGCATTTATAGATTCTAATATAGCAAATCTGGTGAAGGCTCAAAATAAGGAAGCATATTTAGATAAGAGTAGTGACCTTTAAATGAAATATATTACTATGACTGTATGTGGTTGTCTCATAACAATGGTTGTTCAGTTACCTAGTAGGTAAGGATTAGTTATATAGTCTATCATTGTTACATCATCAACCACCCAAAACTCATTATCTTAGCAAACAAATTATTTATTCACATGAAATCTGTGGATTCCCAGAGAGTCTACTTATACAGGCTATGCTTGGATAGTGGTTCTGCTTCAAGTTGTGGGTCTGGTTGGGCTTAACTGGAACGGGTCTACTTTAGGTCATTCTGGGGAGGTAGTAGCTATCTAGTCATGATGGTTAATTTTATGTGTCAACCACTTCTGGGCCATGGGATGCACAACTATTTGGTCAAACATTGTGAGTGTGTCTGTGAGGGTATTTTTGGAGAACACTAACATTTAAATGCATAAACCAATTACAGTGGAGTACCCTCCTTAACATGTGTGGGTCTCATCCAATTAGTTGAAGGCCTGATTAGAACATGAAGGCTGATTCTCTCACAAGTAAGAGGGAACTCCTCTTGCCTGCCCGCCTTGAGCTGACAATTGTCTTTTTCTACCATTGAACTAAAATGGAAACATTGATTCTTCTTTGGTCTCGGGCCTGCTGGCTTTCAGACTGGAAAGACATGATCAACTCTCCTGGATCTCCAGCTTGCCAACTGCAGATCTTGGGAATTCTCACCCTCCATAACCATGTAAGCCAATTCCTTATAATAAATCTCTATTTCTCACTTTGTCTTTCTCTTTTTCTGTTTCTCTATTCATCTCTCTCTCTCTCTCCACACATGCACACACACACACACACACACACACAGAGAGAGAGAGAGAGAGAGAGAGAGAGGGACAGGGAGAGAGAGAGAGAGAGAGAGAGCGAGAGACTCTTTAGTTTCTGTTTCTCTGGAGAACCCAGAATCGCTTCTCAAGATGATGGTAGGAAGATAAGAAAGAATAAAAGAAACATATGAGTTTTATTAAGCCATAAGCACACTGTTACTTCCATCTGCATTGAATTCACCAGAACAATCACATGTTCAAGTCCAAAGTCAAGGGACAAGGAAAGACATGATAAGTATTATATGGCCAAGGCAAGGGTGAAGATTTGAGGTAATTTATTTATTATCACGATAGAGCAAACATTTTTCTATGAATATTCTCATGAGCTTTGATTTAATGTTTTTTTTTTAATTAGCTTCTTTGTTAATCAAGGCGATAAACCTGTGGAATATGCTTTCTTTATATAAAATGTAAGGATCAGAAGCACAATTTAGAAAATCACACTGTAAAAGTCATTTATCTTCAAAATTTAGAATTCACCCTTAAAATCGCATTGATAAAAACATTACTGCAAAATTAAGAGACAGTAGATGCATTGGAGAAGTAGAACACCTTAAACTTGGGTTTTAGTTTTAGAAGATATTGTCAACATGCCATTTGACTATAGCTACTGGTAGTATTTTCAGATTCTAGTTAAACCTGGAAAATAAAATTTTTCATTGGCCTTCAATTAAATCTCAAAACATACATGAAAAACACTTAAATATGAAAGATATAGACAATGAATGAGATATAAAAATTTCAAAAGTTTTATTTATACTGTCAAAGAAAGTCAAAACATGGCATGCAAAAGCAAGGATTAGACTATCAGAAAAAATGGGTATTTAGAGAACAAGAATGAGATTTTAGGAGCTTAAATTATTATGGCAGAAATATAAAATTCAATGTAAGACTTGAAAAATAATTTGAGCAAAGCTTCTGGAAAATGGCAAATCAACAACAACAAAAAGAGATGGAAAACAGAAACTTAGAACATTTAAAGCATTGACCCAGGAAATCCAATATAATCTACCAAGATTTCCAGAAGGGAAGAGCCTAGAAAACAGAAAGAAAGCCATTATTAAATGATTAACATTTAATACAAGAATATTTCTGCCTCTTTTCCCTAAAATTTTATTTTGGCCTTGTGAGACACTGGGCAGGGAACTCATCCATGCCATGGCAGCCTTCTCACTTACCAAAACTGTGAGTTAATAAATGGCTGCTGCTTAAAGCTGCTAAATTCATAGTAACTTGTTTATAGAAATAGAAAAGTAATACACTATCTAAATTAATGCTTATAATTATTGTAGTTTTGTTCTGAGACAACACTTAAATGTTAAGAACTTTTAATCACATAAAATATAATTTATATTTAAATAAATTCAATGATATGTTTAATTAAGGAGTTGTAATAATGGCACCATATTTACTTTTAAATGAAAGCATAATCAACGCATGAGCAGTTTGAAAATTTGCCTGTGTTTAAAGAGGTTTTGTGTAATAATAGAAAAAGCACTAAAATAGTCACAACACTGACTTCAAGTCCTATGCTAGTTATGGAAGGCAGAGCAAATCGATTTTCTTCTGCATGCTGTATTTCTCATGTTTAAAGTGGGATTTATACTACTTCTCTTTCTCTCATATAGTATTGTGAAATTCTAATGCAATAATGTATACAAATGCACTTTGTAAAGTATAAAACAGTATGTAAAAGTGAGTTATGATTCTTACTAGACTATTGCTAAGAGAAATATTGTTTATGTTTTGTTAATTCAGAATTGTTTTCATAATTTTACAGTAATTAGGTTTCATAATCTAATATAGCTTTCTCAAAAAGATAAGTGTATTAGTGAATGGATAGAGGAATAGATAGTTAAAGATATATTTATTTACCATAGAAATAATTCTGTTCTAGGAAAGGTTTTAAAAATATTTAGAAAACTTCTCTTTCTGCATAAATGATATTACAGAGTTAATATCAATGCAAACACCTCAACTCATTAAAAACCACGATGTAATTTATATACATTTTAAAAGCAAAGTTGCTCAACCAGCAAATTCAAAGTGACAAGGCTCTTTATATCATATATGTGGCATTATTAATTTTAGCATCTCCAATAGATGCTAAAAATAGTATGTCATTAAGTCATAGTTATCCGCAGAGTTTGCTGAGGTCTAACTACTCACAAGTCTAAACTTACAAGGAAAAGATGAAGGTATTAAAAAGCTCATTAATATAAATAATAGAGTGAACAAAATAGATGTTGCTTTAGGCAGTACAATTATTGGTCAATAACTTCTTATTAGCTGTCTGTGTTATCACTGCTTTATTTTAACATTTGCTTCTTATCCTTTGATCTAGTAATTCCCCTTTTACATCCTGGGCCCTTTTTTTAATTTCTGGCAAGCAAACTGACCTCGTAAGATTCAACCCAATCAATCTACACTTAAGAAATTTTACTAAATACTTATGTATTAATATTGAAATCCTTTGTTGTAATAATACTAGTGGCAACAATCATGGCTAACACTATTGTGTGCTTAGTCTTTGAAGTGCTATTCTAAACATTTAAATGTTTTGACACACTTAATTCTTATGTAATAATTGTAAAAGGTGCATGTAATTATCATTCTCATTTTAATAAGGAGAAAAGTTGGGTAAAACGAGTTAGATGACATGCTGTAGGATTAAAGAGATGGAAAATTTGGAAAGTAAATTTAACTTAAACTAGGCCCCTCAATTTAACCTACATTTTTTTATTCAGAAAATACTGAGCAGTTACTAGATTCCACATACTCTGCTGGTATTAAGGACAAAAAGAGACCTGAATCATACCCTTAATGGGTCAGTATAGTAGAGACAACTCTGGAAATAAAATATAGCAATAATTACAGAAAGTAAGCTATACCCATAGACCAGAAGAAATATTTAAAAGTTATTATATTTATTTATATCTCAAAATTACTACCCTGAAATTGAAACACATAGATAACTAAGTAGAGAAAAAGGAGTTAAAGTTACTAAGAGCAATTAAGCAAAACATGGGCTTAAAGACAGGAACATTTTGGAAGAAATTTGAGTGATGTAAATTTTCCTATCATTCTGGTACCTGACTGAATTTACTTATTTTCAAATATAATTTTTGTTGAAATATTTGTACTTCTACATAAAAGAGAAATTTAGAAAATGTAAATTTCACTTAGAAAATTGGTTTGAATAAGAGATCTAACATTTTAGTGTTTCTGAAAATGAGGAGTTGCTATGAAAATTATTTGGCATATATAACTATGCCAATTATTTTATCACTAACAAAAACATATAAACAAAACATCTACTAACAAAAACATATAACCTCTACGAAGTCCAAATATTTATTTAAAATAATTTAATCAATAGCAGCTATTCAGTAAAAAAAATGTAAAAATATAGATATAATTCAAAGTAAAAGAAAAAATGACAACTCTATTAGTGATGCTTTCACAGGATTCCTCCAGGGCTACTTTGCCAGTTGGAAATCTGCAGTCGCTGCTGCCTAAGCCTGGGCCTTGCTTGGGGCCTACTGGTCTTCTTCTGCCTGCTTGGCCCAGTAGGCTGCGCTTGGCTGATGTCCTGGCTTCCTTCCCGCACCTGCCACAGCTCTGAGCTCAGCCCAAGGCTGGACTGGGTGTGCCGTGAGCAGTCTCCAGCTTGGGTGCTGGCATCTAGATGAGGGGAACTCAGTGGCACCTGAAAACTTGGAGATGCCAGCAATCATAGAGCCCCGGGAGATGTTAGAGGTCTTGCTCAGGGAGTTACAAGGTCTGAACCCCCAAGAGATGTCACAGCACTTCGCTCCCATAACTTGGCAAGTGGGAGCTGTTTTAGCTCTCTCTCTCCTGTAGTCGGCCAAGTGGGAGTGTGTTATAGCTCTCTTTTATTCCCATCGCCTGTAGCTTGGCATGTTCTGGGTTCATATCCTGTGACCAAGAGGAATAAGGTGCGTGGACTTTGAAGAGTGAGTTAGGCAGAGAAGAATTTTATTGAGCGACAGAAGGAAAGCTCTCAGAGTGAGAGAGGACCTGAGAGTGGGTAGTCCAGGGTTTTATGGGCTTAGAATGGGTGTGCTGATTGGTCCATGGGTGACCTTTGGAAAAAACACCATCTGGTTAAAAGGCATCATCAAGAAGAACCAATCGAGAAAGAGAGGGTAAGATGGGGATAGAAGTTCTCATGTCTGCCATTGTATTAGACAGGGCTCTCTAGAGGGACAGAACTAATAGGTTAGATGTATATATAAAGGGGAGTTTATTAAGGAGTACTGACTCACAGGATCAAAAGGTGAAGACCCACAATAGGCTTTCTTCAAGCTGAGGAGTGAGGAAGCCAGTCCAAGTACCAAAACCTCAGAAGTAAGGAAGCTGACAGTGCAGTCTTCGGTCTGTGGCCAAAGGCCCGAGAGATCCTGGCAAACCACTGATCTAAGTCCAAAAGTCCAAAAGCTGATGAAGTTGGAGTCCGATGTTGGACAGAAGGAAGCATCCAGCATGGGAGAAAGATGAAGCCCAGAAGAATCAGCCAGTCTTCTCTTTCCATCTTCTTCTGCCTGCTTCAGCTGCCTGGCAGCTGATTAGATGGTACTCATCGAGATTGAGGGTGGGTCTGCCTCTCCCAATTCACTGACTCAAATGTTAATCTGCTTTGGCAACACTCTTACAGATACATGCAGGAACAATACTTTACATTCTTCAATCCAATCAAGTTGATACTCAATATTAACCATTACAGTCACCGACTCTCTGGAACTGGCATTTCAGCTTTCAGGATTCAGGCTGTTTTTGGCTTGAAGGTTGGGTTTCACTGGGAAACTGTCTGTCTCTGCCTAAGTATTTGTTTGTCTCCTATTGCTCTCAATGCTCAAAATCACATATAATAAGATAATAAGAAAATTCTAATTTAAACTTAAACTACCTTAACCCAATTTTTAAAACTATTTGACTCACAAAATTTCTAATGGTTATGACATGTAGTATTGTATTAAAACAGGCATTTTCATGTAATGCTTACAGAAATATTTCTGGTATAATCCTTATGGAAGGAGATTTGGCAGTAGCTATTAAAGTTACAAGATGTGAACAGAAAAGGTGAGAACTACAGTAATAAGAATATAACATACAAGCCTTACTTAGTTCAAGATATGTCAAAATACATGAAGTGAACAAAATATATACATAGCTATAAGAGACCTAAATAACTGAACTAACAAGGTCAGTCATATATATATATTTATAACTACTTACAGTCTACATATATATATATAGAGAGAGAATATGCGTGTGTATATGTATAGAGAGAGAAAAAAGAGATATATAAATATTGATATTGATAAATAAAAATTTTTTAACACTGAAATAGAAAATAAATATTTTTCTCAACTATGCATGAGACATTCACAAAAATTGGCAATATATTATGTCATAAATAAGTTCCACAAAGTAAAATGTGACAAACAATATTCTCTTGCTAAAAAGTAATAAAATTTCAGTACTCTGATTCTACATACTAAATGTAATATATTCTAGTAAGAATAAGTTCTGCAAAGAAATTTTGACATTATTCTGATTGAATTTGTTTTAGATCATGGTATTAAGACTTTGTATGTATTGAATAAATACATGGCTATATATTTATATTGCTTGTAAGCACAGTTCTCAATGTGAGAGAAATACAAATACGAAACAGGAGAAGGAAAGTTTCTTGATGCAGGATTTGAACTAAAGGGTACAAATTTATTTAATAAAAATTAGTTTTTCAAGAAATAATTTAAATATAACAAGTTCACTACTTCAAAGTGTACAATTCAATGAGTTTTGAGAAATGTATGTAGTCTTATAACCACCATCAAAAATATGATATAGAAAATTTTTATAATCATAGTGTATCTCTCCATGCTATTTAATATGCTAATAAACAACTACATATTTAACTGTTTTTAAATTTCTCTCGGTAATATATTGAAATTTTCAGTTTCTAAGCATTGCACAAACTTTGTCAAATTTGCCTTTAATCCAATATACTTCATATACATTAAAGCTATGGTATATTGTATTTTTAACTTTCAATTTTCAAATTTTTGATTTTAGCATAGTGAAATACAATTGATATTTATTTATTGGCCTTGTATACTGTGATCTGGCTAAAGTCAATGATTATTTCTATTGCCATGTGTTGTATATTTTTTATAATTTTTCACTGGATGTGAATAATGTTTTCCTTGTTTCTTTCTGATCTGTCCCTCCCTACCATCTTTTCTCCCTCCCTCCTTTTCTTCCTCTCTCTTGCTCTCTTTCTTTTCCTCTCCTGTTTTTTTCTTTCTTTCCTTTCTGACCTTCAACACAGTGTGGAACAGTAGAATTTTGAATAAGTAAATTGTGAGAATACACATCCTCATCCTTGTCTTGAGGGAAAAACACTCAGACTTTTATTGGCTATATATTGATCTTTCCACTACTAGTATCCTGAAGATTTTTATTAAAGAAGAATTTTATTTTTGTCAAATATATTTTCTGCATCTATTGAGATATCTATGGTTTTGTTTCTAATATGCTAATCCAGTTATACACTTTCAAATAATAAGCTATTCTCATCTTCCTAAAATAAATTCCATTTGTTTTTGATATATTATCCTTTTAATATGGTGCTATTTGTCTATTTTATATAAATTTTCATATTCACTGGCATAGAGTTATTCTAATATTTATTATCCTTTTAGTGTCTGTGGAATTTGTAGCATATCCCTTATTTCTTTGCTATTGGTAGTTTGTGTCTTCTGTATTTCTATTTGTTTCTCATTCATCAGTGTGGTAAGAGGATTTTCAATTGTACTGATCTTTTCAAATAGCCAGCTTTTGCTTTATTTATTTTTCTTTATTTATTACCATTTTTCTACTTAATAGGTTTCTATTATCTGTATTGTCCTTTTTCTTGTGCTAGTATTTGATTGTAATTTGCATTTTCTTTACTTGTTTCATGAAGTAAAAATTTATTTACTTAAGACTTCTTCTTCTAATATAGGCTCTAAATCAAGCTTGTCCAACCTGTGGCCCATGGGTTACATGTGGCCCAGGATGGCTTTGAATGTGGCCCAATACAAATTAATAAACTTTCTTAGAATATTATAAAAAATTTTTGTGTTATTTTTAGCTCATTAGCAATCATTGTTAGTATATTTTATGTGTGGCCCAAGACAATTTTTTTCTTTTTCCAGTGTGGCCCAGGGAAGCAAAAAAATTAGACACCCCTGCTCTAAATTTTTATTTAAGCCTTACGAATATGTCAAATGTTTGTATGTTGGTCTTCCTTTCCCTTCAATTCAAAAAAAAATCTCAAAATTTCTTGTGATTTCTTCTTTGAGCCAAGAGTTCCTTATAGGTATGTTGTTTAATTTCAAGAATTGAGGTTTTTACATATATCTTTTTATTATTGATTTTGGTTTATTCATATTGTATTTAGACATCATATTTTATTTCAAGCCTATTAGATTGATTGGGACTTAATTTATGTCCATAATAAGGTATATGTTATAGTATTTTTTGAGTATTTTTGAAAAAAAAATGTGTAGTTGGCTGTTGTTGAGTGAAGTGTTGTATAAAAGTAAACTTGGTCAAGTTGGTTAATTGTATTATTCAAGTGCCGTCCATCATTATTTATTTCTGTCCAGTTATTCTATCAACTACTTAAAAAAGAGTTTGGAAATCTTGAAAAATTTGCCTTTTCTATCTAATTTTCTTTATGTATTTTGAAACTTTCTTATTATGTATATATTTATTTAAGAATGTTACATCCTACTAATGAATTTTGTACTTTATCCTCATGAGATGAACTTTAGTAGCATTCCTTTTTATGAAATCTTTTTTTGATAATAATGCAGCTATTCCAACCTTCCCTTGATGAATGTTCACATGATATATTTTTCACCCTTTTAAAATCATATCTTTTTGTTTTTTATATTAATAGAGTGTTTTGTGGATTACTTTTTTTATATTTTGACAATATTTGTCTCTTAGTAGAAGCATTTAAATTATATACATTTAAAGTAAACATTGATGTGAGTGGATTTAAAGCTACTATATTATGGTTTTGCTTTATTTTTGTAACATATTTTCATTGTTTTTTCAATTCCTTATTTCTGCCTATTTTCTGGAGTAATTGAGTATTTAAAAAGTAATTGTAATTCATTTCCATTATTGATAGTTTGGTTATATTACATTATTTTATTTCATAGTGGTTGCCATAAGTTTATAGCTTCAAGTATGACAGTCTATTTTCAAATTCTATTGTGCCACTTTAAGTAGACAATAAGAATATTAAACAGTATATATTTTCATTTCTACTCTTCTCATTTGCCTTATATGCTCATTTGTTGTCAAGTATTTTACTTCAATGTAAATTTTAAAATTACACATTGTTACTTTTGTTTACAAGCTCCTTAATTTTAAAGACATTAAGATATGAGGAAATATCCACATATTTGCCATTCTCTATTTACTTTCAGTGGATTCAGATTTTCATCTGATATCGTTTTTTCTTCTGCCCAAAGAAAGTTAATAACAATTTTTATAGGACAGATCTGCTTTGACTTTTGAGATACATTTTTTTGAGTATAAATTTCTAGGATGAAAGTCATTTTTTCTCACCTTTTCCCATTTGTTTTTTAAATGAGTACTTTCTGTGGAGAAGTCGGCTGTCATACTGATCTCTCCAACTTCTGTGTCTTTGATCTCTGTCTGCTGTTAAGATTTTTTTTCTTTTTCAATGCTTTTCAAAAATTTGACTATGATGTGCATTGATGCGCTTTTCATTATATTTATTCTCATTGGGTTTACTGAATTTCTTTTATTTGTTAGTTCACAGTTTTCATCAAATCAGTGTATTCTTAGGCTAATATTTTTTCAAGTATTTTTTCTCCCATTTAATCCTTATTCTCATTGTTACCATGTTTTCAAGCACACTGATCTTTTATTTCTGGTTTTTTATTTCTGGTATTTTTATTTCTGGTTTTCTAGTTATTTATAGCAGTAGAACCATTCCCATAGGATGAGTTATGGGTAGAAGTGGAACTACTCTTGAACTCATTTAAAAAAAATAATAATTTTGCAGATATGAATGTAAGGAAGCAGATAACATGAAAAAAGAAAGACAATATAATACCTTCAAATGAAAACAATAATTCCTCCAGCAAAATATCCCACTCAAAAAGAAACCTATATGACGCCCCAAAAAATTCACAATTATGATACTAAAGAAGCTCAGTGACAAAAGAATTCCAAAAAGCTATAAAATAAAATTTTAAAAAAAAATCAGAATATAAATGAGAAACTTAACAAAGATATGTTATTTAAAAAATGGAAATTTTATAACTAAAGAATTCATGGAATAAATACAGGATATATTATAATACTTCAACAATAGACTAGATGAAACAGAGGAAAGAATCTTGGAACTTATACATAGGTCTTTTGAAATAACCCAGTCAGAAAATGATACAAATTAAAAATTAAAAAGGAACAAACAGTCTTTGAGATATATGGAACACCATAAAGAGACTAAATATATAAATTATCTGTTTCATTTAAGGCAAAGAGAGGATGAAAGAATTTGAAAACCTATTTAACAAAATAATAGACGAAAAGTTCCCAAGTCTAGCATGAGATTTAGACATTAGATACAGTAGGCCCAGCGATTCCTGGATTCAATTCAAAAATTTTTTCTCTACAGCATATTGTAGTCAAACTGTCTATGGTCAATAACAAACTAAAAAATACTAAAAACAGCAAAAGAAAAGTGTCTAGTTACCTATAAAAGGGTCTCCATCAGACTAACAGAGGATTTCTCAGCAGAAATTTTACAGACCAGAAGAGAATTGGATGATACGTTCAAAGTGCCAAAAAAAAAAACCCCAAAAATCCTGCCATTCATGGATACTTGATCCATAGAAACCTTCCTTTGGAAAAGAAGAAATAAATTATTTCCCAGACAAGCAAATGATGAGGGAATTTATTATTACTAAATAGGCCTTGCAAGAAAGGCCCAAGGGAGCCCTAAACCTGGGCATGAAAGGATGACATTTACCATTATGAAAACACATGAAAGTATAAAACCTACTGATAAAACAAACACACAAATGTGGAAAAGTATCAAATAATACTACCACAGAAAATCAGCAAACCACAAGGACTAACAATAAAGGAAAAAGAAAGGAACAAGAACATGTAAATAGCAACTGGAAAACAAATAAGAATATGATAGAAACAAACCTCCCATATTAATAATAACCTTGAATGTAAAAAGAATAGATTATCTATTTAAAACATATAGTCTGGCTGAATGGATTAAAAAATGTGACCCAACTATATGCTGCCTAAAAAAAAACACACTTTACCTGTAAATATACATATATACTGAACATAAAAAGATGAAAAATGATATTCTGTACAAACAAAAGCCAGAAGGAAACAGGAGTAGGTATTATGATATCAGATAAAACAGACTTTGAGTTAAAAATGGTATTAAAAAAAAATGAAGGTCATTCTATAATGATAAATAGATTAATACAAAAAGAAGATATAACAACTTTAAATATATATGCACCCAATACTGGAGGACCCAGATTCATAAAGCAAACATGACTATAATAGATCTAAAGAAACAGATAGACTGTTAATACAATAATGGTGGGGAAACCAATACCACATTCTCAGCATTAGAAAAATCATATAGAGAGAAAATAAACAAAGAAACTTTGGGCTTAAGCTGGATTTTAGACTAAATGTACCTGAGACATTTACAACATTTTTTATTAAATAACTGCAGAATACACATTCTTCTCATTAGTAGATGGGACATTCTCCAGCACTGGCCATATGTTAGTCCACAAAACAAGCCTCAACAAATTTTTAAGAATCAAAATCATATCAAGTATCTTCTTAGACAAAATAGAATAAAAGTGGAAATCAACAGCAAAAGGAACTTTGGAAATTGCATAAATACAAGGAAATTAAACAAAATATTTCTGAATAATCATTGACACATAAAAAAATTCAAGATAGAAATAAAAAATTATTGAAACAAATGAAAATAACAATGCAACATACCAAACTCTGTGAGACACAGCAAAAACAGTGATAAGCGGGGAATTAATAGCAATAGGCATCTATATCAAAAAACTGGAAAGATTTCAAATAAACAATGTAATGATACACGTCAAGCAAATATAAAAGCAAAAAGCAAAGACAAAAACACACAAAAACAAAAACAAAAAAAACACCCAAAGCCCAAACTAGCAGAAGAAAAGAAATAAAGATCAGAGTAGAACTAAACAAAATAGAATTAAAAGCAATATAAGGAATACATGAACTGAAAAGTTGGTTCTTTGAATAGATAAACAAAATTAATAAGCCAGAAACTAGACTAAACAAGAGAAGAGAGAAGATATACATAAACAGAATCAGAAATAAAAAAGGAGACATTACAACTGATATTACAGAAACACAAATGATTATTAGAGACTATAATGAACAACTGTATACTAACAAACTGGAAAATCTAGAGGAAACGGCTAAATTCGTGGCAACAAACAACCTACCAAGACTGAATTAGGAAGAAATAGAAAACCTAACAGACCAATAATGAGTAGTCAGGTTGAGTCAATAATATAAAGCCTGCCAACAAAAAAAAGCTCAGTACTTGGTAGATTAATGGCAGAATACTACTAAACATATAAAGAAAGGCTAATACTAATCCTCTTGAAACTATTCCAAAAAATTAAAAAGTAGGAAATTCTCTTTAACTCATTCTATGAGGCCAGCATTACCCTGGCCTCAACCGGATTACAAAGACACAACCAAAAAAAAAAAAAAAAAAAAAAAAAAAAAAAAAAAAACAAAAAAAAAACCATTGCAATGCAATATCCCTGATGAACGTAGATGCAAAAATCCTCGATAAAATACTAGCAAACTGAATTCAACAGAACATTAAAAAGATAATATAGCATGATCAAGTGGGATCTATACAAAGGATGCAAGGATGTTTCAACATATGCAAATCAATAAATATCATATATTACATCAACAGAATAAAGGACAGAAACCACAAGGTAATTTCAATAGACACAGAAAAAAATTGATAACATTTAATACCCCTTCATGATAAAAAGTGTCAACAAACTAGGCATAGAAGGAACATACATCAAAATAATAAAGTCTGTAAAAGACAAACCCACAGGTGAGATCATACTAGAAAAAAAACAATTGAAAGTCTTTCCCCTAAGAACAGCTAAAAGACAAGGATGCCCCCTCTTTCACCACTTCTATTCAACATAGTACTGAAACTCCTATCCAGAGGAATTAGATATGTTAAAGAAATAAAAGGAATTCACATTTGAAAAGTGGAACTGAAATTGTTGCTCTTTACAGATAGCATGACCTTATGTTTAAACAAACAGACAAACAAAAGACTCCACCAAAAAAACTTTTAGAACTGATAAACTAAGTAAATTTGCAAGATACAATGTTGACATACAAACATTGGCACAGTTTCTGTAAAACCATAATGAAATAACAGAAAAAGAAATAGAGAAAGGAATCTCATTTACAATTGCTATGTGAAAAATAAAACACCTATGGATAAATTTAACCAAAGAGGTAAAAGATCTCTACAAGGAAAACTACAAAACAGTGATGAAAGAAATTTTATAAAACATAGACAAATGGATTGGGCATGGTGGCTCATGCCTGTAATCCCAGCATTTTGGGAGGCTGAGGCAGGTGGATCACGTGAGGTCCGGAGTTCAAGACCAGCCTGGCCAACATAGGGAAACCCCATCTCTACTAAAAATACAAATATTAGCCAGGCTCACACCTGTAGTCCCAGCTCCTAGGGAGACTGAGGCAAGAGAAAGAGAATCACTTGAATGCAGGAAGCAGATGTTGTGGTGAGCTGAGATCATGCTACTGCACTCCAGCCTGGTCAACAGAGTGAGACTCCATCTCAAAAAAAAAAAAAAAAAAAAAAAGGAAACCATAGAAAAATGGAAAGACATCCTATACTCATGGATCAAAACAATTAATATCATTAAAATGATTATACTTCTGAACACACTCTACAGATTTAATGCAATTCCTATCATAATACCAACATCATTTTTCACAGGAATATAAAAATTATACCTGAAATTTATATGGAACCAAAAAGAGGCTGAATAAAAAAAGCTATCCGGAGCAAAAAGAACAAAGCTGGAGGCATCACAGTAAGTGATTTCAAAACACAGTACAAGACTATAGTAACCAAAACAGCATGTTATTGGTATAAAAACAGACACATGGATCAATAGAACAGAGTCAGAAATAAATACAAATATTTATAACTGACTGACCTTAACAAAGCTGCTAAAAACATACTTTGGGGAAAGGACACCCCCTTCAGTAAATGGTGCTGGGAAAACTGAATAACCATATGTAGAAGAATAAAACGACACCTATCTCTCACTATATGCAAAAGTCAACTCAAGGTCGATTAAAAACCTAAATGTAAGACCAAAGACTACACATAAAAGTGGTAGACATTCAAGATGATGGATACCCAACAGACTCTGACTTAAATGTTATACATTCTATGCATGTAACAAACACTCACATGTACTGCATAAATCTGTAAAATATTACTTATTAATAGAAGAAAAAAATTGTCTTTTTTCTATCTCCTTCTACTGAAGAGGTCCAGATGTAATGACATATCATAGATACAAGAATACCAGTACCCAGAATTGTGCTCCAAATGCTGCTAACCACTAAAATGAACCAGAACTTCTTGGAGCAATGACTGATTTCATAAATGAGACAGGAAAAGTTAAAAATAAGCCTAGAAATGTTTGCTACACTGAAAAGAGGAAAAAAAGCTAAAATATTGATGAAGGTGTATCAAAATTTTACAGATGTCTATACAGCTTAGGTAGACAGTATTTGAACAATTTGAGTATCAAAAAAATGAGAGTTAAAGTTTTTATAAATTGTGTAGAAAGAAAAAGAATCCTTGAAACTATAATTATTCATAAAATTGTAAAGAGATGAAAATGCTTTTTTTTTAAACAGTTATTTTTGATTATTATGGAAAAAAACTAGATAAAATATTGAAGGAACCATAGAATTAGAATATTATCAAATTGCAATTACTTTTATAATAATTATAATCCTCCAGGTAAGAAACATTAATGGATCATTTGGTGAAAATTAAGATGTGTGTTTGTGTGAATTTACGGAAAAGTAATTAATTACAAAGGAAAAATCAATGCTAGTATAAAATGGAAAACAATATGATGAAATCATCTTAACTGATCAGATTTAAGATCAAAGAGCTTAACTCCAAGGAACCACTTGGAAAGCAACAGCTGTAATGGTAAAATATCTGACCAGAGAATTAGCAGCTTCTCAGTCTTAGAAAGTCAGAATTTGATACTTAAGTTCTGTGTAGTTGGCACATCTTGGCAAGCACTTCGGGAACTCCAGTGAAATAAGGGCAGGCCAATGTTTCAGGAGTAAGGGCCTTTCTCACAATGTAGAGCTACATTGTAGGTATAATACAGCAAATATAGATTTACCCTAATAAATTCTGAAACAAAGCCTTCACAGTGTAAAGGAAATTCACCAATAATTTAACTTCCAGGTAGAAAAATTCTACACTCTTAAGATGAAGATAAAATCAAAACTTCCTACAACATATTATCTATAATATTTGGCATATAATTAAAACTTACTAGATATATGAGGAAGCAGAAAAACGTAATCCACATCAAAGAAGAAAACAAATGAATAGAAAAAGATACTCAGATACCATGTTTGTTGAAATTGATAGACAAAGACATCAACATAACCATGATTAAAATATGCTAAATAATGTATCAGTAAATGAACATTATAGTGAAGACATATGGAATTTCAGGAGAGAGATTAAATATCTTTAAAAACTACCAAACAAATCTTAAAACTAAAAAGGAAAAATATTTAAAATAAAATTATTAAATGGGATTGATGGCAGGGCATCTCGGAGAAAAGAATCTGTATTCTTAGAGACTAGTTAACAGAAATTGTTTAATCTGAAGTACCACGTGATGGTTAATTTAAGTATCAACTTGGCTGGACTTGGGGATACCTAAGTAGCTGGTAAAGCATTATTTCTGGGTGTGTCTATGACCATGTTACCAGAGGAATCTAGCGTTTGTGTTGGTGGACCAAGCGGAGAAGTTCCGCCCCTAATGAAGGTAGGCACAACCCAATTGACTGAGAGCCTGGATGGAACGCAAAGTCAGAAGGAAGGTGAATTTTCTCTCTCTGTCTTCTGGAACTAGGCCACCCTTCTCCTGCCCTTGTACATCAGAACTCCAGGATTTCTGGCCTTTGAACTCTGAGACTTGCATCAGCAACACCCAGGATTCTCAGGCCTTGGGCTTTGGAATGAGAGTTATACCATCAGTTCCACTGGTTCTGAGGCCTTCGAACTAAGACCGAGCCACACTACTGGCCCCATTTTTTTTCCAGCTTGCAGACAGCTTATCATAGGACTTCCCAGCCTTCGTAATTATGTGATCTAATTTTCCTAATAAGCCCTCTCTTTATCTGTCTATCTATCTATCTATCTATCTATCTATCTATCTATCTATCTATCTATCTATCTATCTTATTCGTCTGTCTCTCTGGAGAACCCTAATATAAATTTTGATACCAGAAGTGGTTCTAGAAGAACCTAATTTTAAGAGTGAGTTTTTGCAATTCATTTTGATGTTTCTTGAGTTTATTTTCTAATCTTCTTAGACTTTAAAATGCAAAAAAAATCTACTTCCAATGGTACTGATAATCTGTGGCATGCCTGTTAATAGAAATACACAAAATACCTGCATTGGATACCTAAAAACCACTTGTAAATGGCAAGGAATTTGATGACTCTGTAAATGGAACTTTCAAACATTTATGAAAAACTAAGGAATATGATGATTTTAGTTGTTTCTAATGTCCTTCCACAAAGTGATGGAAAAAAAGGGCAGCTCAGATAATCAAATTTCCCATCACATCAATAGCCTAAAGGCTTCTATGTGTGTCCTAAGAGAGAATCTCTTTTCCTGTAGCCACAGGGTCAAAATAAGCCCTAATCATGCAATTGGCAGAATTACAATGAAAATTAAGCTCTTAGCCTAGCAAGTGTCTACTATTCAAGACAGGGCATTGGTTGGAAAAAAAAGTGGTATCTTATAAGTTGGAATGAGGAGATGTGAAAACACCCTGATGAAGCTCGGAACATTAAACTCCTAAATACTGATGGCTTTTTTTTTTTTTTTTAACCAGTGGAAGTGGCCTCCGTACCCACAGTGGGAATAACTTCCACATACACAATGATATCAGCCTTTCAACATCTGTCTTTTGGGATTATACCTATATTGCCTGAGGAAATAGTAAGGGCCTCCCCTAAGGCAGTTGTCAAGAAAGATAATGCTGATTTTCCTCAGGACCCACTCACATCCCTGTTTGCTTCTCTACCTATAACTAGATTCAAGTCCCAGCAGATTCCTAAAAGTGAAATACAAAGTGTGACTTATGAAGAAGTGCATAACACTTGAAAATAAACACTTGAGTTTTCTAATTTATGCAAGCAGAAATATGGGGAACTGGCTAAAACATGGATGAAAAAATGACCTACTATGAGCAAGGTGAAGATACACAATCTCCTTTGATTTAACATAGAGAAAGAGATTTAAAAGGCCTAGGGAGATTGGAATGAAAGAATAAACTTTTAACTTAAAACCTAGTTACCCACCCTGGGAAGCTCCAAAAGGCATACTTTTCACCAATACTTAAAAAATTAGATTTCTGAGGGGAACCCCAGAACTCTATGATTGCTATTCTCCTTAGGCCAGAGTTACAGTGAGAACTGAAGTCACTCAATTGGAAAACTTAAATGCAATGTGAATAATTGTATACCAGGGTGTCAGCAACCAAGTGGCAGCCTGCCAAATGCAAGGTGGGCATAGTTAGCATAATGAACAGCAGAGGCAAAGCCACAATTAGAAAAGATTGACTCATAGACTTCTGGCATTGGCAAGTTACTCACAGTGCTCCTAAATAGTGAAATAGATAGAAAACCCATTAAATCCTTACCTGATCTGTGTAAGCAGCAACCTTTAAGTCAAATGAACAAAAGTCTAACTCAAATCATAAAAATGAAGAATCATAGCCCCTCAAACAATCCCCTGACTTGAGCAAGTTTTCCAAGCCACAATCTCTTAAATGAAGAAGAGGGTGAGTCCCCTAGAGGAAGAAATTTTTGATAGTACACAAGTCAGAATAGGGGACTATAAAGGGCAGGTGATCGATGGAGTTTTAGCCCAGGTATGACTCACTGTGTGTACAATGTTTATTTAACTAATTTCAAAACGCATAATTGTGATAGACCTACTAAGCAGCTGTCAGTGGTCCTACAATTGTTCCCTAACCTGTGGGATGAGGGTTATTATGTTGTGAAAAGCCAAATAGAAGCCATTAGAGCTTCCGCTACCTAGTAAAATAGTAAATCAAAAGCAATACTGCATTCCTGGAAAGATTGCAGAGATTAGCGCTACCATCAAGAACTTGAAAGGTGCAGGGATTGGGATTTCCACCACTTCTCCATTCCATCTCCTATTTGGCTTGTGCCAAAGACAGATGGATTTTGAAGAATGGCATGATTATCAAGAGTTTAACCAAGTAATGACTCTAATTGCAGCTCTGTACCAGTTGTGGTTTCATTGCTTGAGCAAATTAACATATCTCTTGGTACCTGGAATGCAATTATTGGTCTGGCAAATGTTTTTTTTTTGTTTGTTTTTTTGTTTGTTTTTTCCTCCATACCTGTCTGTAAGGTCCACCAGAAGCAGTTTTCTTTCATCTGGCATGGCCAGCAATACCCCTCCACTGTCCTCCCCCAGAGGTATATTACCTCTCCAGCCCTATTATAATTTAGTTAACAGGGATCTTGATCATTTTTTCCCTTCCACAGGATTTCACACTAGTTCATTACATTGATGCCGTCAGGCTGATTGAACAAAATGAGCAAAAAGTAACAATCACTATGGACTTTAACTAGTAATACATTTGCATGTCAGAGGCTGGGAAAAAAATCTGACTAAAATTCAGAGGCTATCAATTTCACTGAAATTTCTAGGAGTTCAGTGGTGTGGGGCATGCCACCTGAGAAGGTATATATATTCTAAGGTGAAGGTTAAGTTGTTACATTTGGCCCCTTCTACAACCAAGTAAGAGGCATCTGCCTAGTGGGCCTATTTGGATTTTGGAGGCAACACATTTCTCCTTTGTGTGTGTTGCTCTGGCCCCTTTACTGACTGAGCAGAAGAACTGCCAGTTTTGGCTAGAGTACAGAACAGAAGAGGGCTCTGCAACAGGTCCAGGTTGCTGTGCAAGCTGCTCTGCCATTTGGGCCATGTGATCCAGCAGAATCAGTGATGTTTTAAGTATCACTGGCAGATAAGGATGCCATTTGGACCCTTTAGCAAGTCTCTATAGATAAATTGCAGGACAGGCCTCTAGGATTTTGGAGCAAGGCCCTCATTATTTGCCGGTAACTACTCTCCTTTTGAGAGGCAGGGCCTCAGTAGAACTAAACGCTTAACCACGGACCACCAGGTTACCAGGCAACCTGAGTTGCCTGTCATAAACTGAGTGTTATGTGACTCACCAAGCCATAAACTTGGGTGTGCACAGTATCATTTAATCATCAAATATAAATGGCATATATGTGATTGGGTCTGAGCAGGTCCTGAAGATACAAGTAAGTTATATGAAGAAATGGCCTAAATGCCAATGGTTCCTACCCAAACTACACTACCTTCTCTCCCAGCCTGCACCTAGGCCTTATAGGGAGTATCCTATGATCAGATGACAGAGGAAGGAAAGACTAAGGCTTAGTTTATGCATGGTTCTTTACAATGTTCAGGCACCACCCAAAAATGGACAGCTGCAGCACTACAGCCTCTTTCTGGGACCTCTCTGAAGGACAATGGTGAAAGAGAATCTTTTCAGTGGATAGGAGGTCTTTGGGCAGTGCCCCTGGCTGTGTACCTTGCTTGGAAGGAAGCATGGCCAGATATGTGATTATATACCAATTCATGGGTTGTAACCAATGGTTTGGCTAGATCATCAGGAATTTGGAACAAACATAATTAGAAAATTGTTGACAAAGAAATTTGAGAAGAACTCTCTCTCTTTACCCTACTGGTTTAGTCTTTCTGGAGAGCCTTGATCAATAAACACAAATAGAAAAATTGAAAGAAATGTACAGAGCCCAAATGAATTAGAGGATAATAACAAGAAGCCTAAAGTACATGATTTCCGAAAAGGAGGGGAGAAAATGGGGAAAATATTAACACTGGCTAAAATTTTCAAAAATTTTTAAAAACGTTTACTCACACATTTAAGAAGAAAGAAAACTCAATTAAATAAATAAAATAAAAACCATGTGAGGGTCACTACATAGTCAAACTACTAGTAATAAGACATAAAGAAAGTTGCATGGGGTTCACTATTTACCATTTTTGGGGGAGTATCACAGGAAGAGCACAGTTACACCACTTTTGACTGTATGTGTAGCAGGTCACAACCTACTCTTGTGTGTTTAGATGTGTATGGAATACCTGTGTATGCTAGTGAAAGCTGTTTACTGTAAAAAAAGGGAAAACAAGATTACTTACATCTGGGCCCTCTACTGATCACTAAAGAAGTTCCTGTCACCTGCTCTCTCCGCTGCTTGCATCTGTCTACTTGGCTAACTTTTAACATGTGTTTTTTTAGGTTACGTAAATTCTTAACTGGCTTGTCTCGTTGAGATTGTATGCATCATTATATGTGACATTATTGTAACTACTGTGTGATCAGTACAATTTCTATAAGAAATACTGCTTTAAAAATATAAATAAGTAACATGGTGGTGGGTGACCTATATCCCACGTTAGTGGGTGGGGTGATCACTTTATTTATAGAATCTTTAAAACAACTATATATATAAAATATATATATATATATATATATATATATATATATATATATATATTTTTTTTTTTTTTTTTTTTTTTTTTTTTTTTTTTTGAGACAGAGTTTCACTCTTGTTGCCCGGGCTGGAGTGCAATGGCACCATCTCAGCTCACTGCAACCTCCACCTCCTGGGTTCAAGCAATTCTCCTGTCTCAGCTTCCCGAGTAGCTGGGATTACAGGTGCCTGCCACAATGCTTGGCTAATTTTTTTTTTTTTTTTTTGTATTTTTAATAGAGAAAGGGTTTCACCGTGTTGGCCAGGCTGGTCTTGAACTCCTGAGCTCAGGTGATCTACCCTCCTTGGCCTCCCAAAGTTCTGGCATTACAGGCGTGAGGCACCTTGCCCACTCAAAACAAGTATATTTTTAATGAATTAAACTGAATAAAGGCACAATTAAAAACTGTCAAAAAAAACTGTCAAAAAATAAAACAAATAAAAATTGTCAAATAGAAGAAAGCATCTTAAAGGAGCCAGTAAAAAACAAGTAAGATAATGCATGCAGTGAAAAAACAATAAACATTTCTCACCAGAAGTAATGAAAGGCAGAAAGCAATGAAATGATATATTAAAAGTACTTTCAAAAATGAGAAACAAACCCATCTACCTTGAATATTTTAATAGTAAAAGTATCCTTCGAAATGAAGGTGACATAGAAAAACTTTAGATTAAAAAGCCCACAAGAATATGTTACTAACTGACCAGCAATCTAAGAGCCACTACAGGAAGTTAATCAGGTTGAAGAAAGTGAGACTGAAAACAATTCTGACCTATAAAGGTCTTGCATTTTCTGTGAAGTGGTAGGTATTAATTCAAGATAGATTAAAAGTTAAGGAAGCATATTATAATTTCTAAAATAAACATGATAAGACTAACTGAAAGAGTTAATAAAATTCCATTTAGGAGGTAAAATGGAACGATAAAAATAGTCTATTATTTTAAAATAAAGCAAAATAAGGAGGAAAAATGAGACAAAGTACAGAGATAAAAAATAGAAGACAAATAACAAGAGAGTCCAATTAAACTCAAACATATCGACAATTATGTTATTATAAGTAGAATTTATTGATCCAATTAGGAGTCAGAGATTCTCAAATTGAATAAATAAGGCAAACTCATTTAAAGGCAGTTTACAAGAGATGCATTTTAACTTTGCAAACACAGGAAAGTTGAAAGTAAAAACATGAGAAAAGACATATTATGTAAATACAGAGCGTAATAAAGCTGATATTGCTGTGCTAATACCAGACAAAGAACGTTTCAAGACATGGGTTAATATCAGATATTAGGACCATCTTAATGACATAAGTCCATTTAACAAAAGGGTCTAAAAATATTAAATTTCGTATGTACTGAATAACAGAGCTTCAACAAAACATGAAGCAATAACAGGCAGAACTAAAAGGGAAAATAAATAAATCCACAATTGTTGTTTGAGGAACACACTATACAATTTTATTTACATAATTTCCTAGAACATCAAATATTTATTTAATCTGGGGGAAATCTCAATAGTGGTTGCTCTTGATAGAGGTTTGACTCTAAAGGGACAAATAATATTTTCTCAGGGTAATGCAAATTTTGTTTGGTTTTGATTGGGATGGTGGTTTTGCAGGTCTACAAATTTGTCAAGCACCTCAGGCTATACATTTATCTGTGCGTTTTATAGCATGAAAATTCTATCTCAACTAAACCTCAAATCACTACCCAGTGTTCTATATAATACCATTTTGTCACTCACCACATCCAATATTGGATTATCTATATATTTGTATGTATTATTTCTTCTGTTGAAATTTTAGAATCCTGCCTGAGTTACTTCTTTACTTTTACAATTCTGCAGTGCCTTGCCTGATTTAGAGAATAAGTATCAATTAAGCAAATAAAAATAAACTATAAATATTAAATTAAACATTTGCAATATCATCAACTTTATTTTGTGTTTTAGAGTGAGGTTGGCAAACACTGGTCTCGGGGCTAAACTCAGCCCACTGACTGTTTTTGGATGACCCACAAGCTGAGTGTGGTTTTTTACATTTAAAATTATTGTGAAAAAAATCAAAAGAGGAAAATATTGTATGATGTGAAAAATTATATGAAATTCCTACTTACGTCTATAAATAGTATTTTATTAGAACACAGTATAGTTGAAAATAAGCGGATGAAAGAAGTTATACTATACCAACTCTGAGCATGATAAGGCTGATATGGTTATACCAGTATCACATAAATATAGGGAAGTTATAAAGGTAAAAGTTGAAAGTTCTGCTGACAGTGGTAGGATAGAGCCTAGGAATCTGGATGGTAGCAAGCCCTCAGATCCTCTGTAAGTAAAGAAGAAAAGAAACTGCTCTAGAGTAATTGGAATAACAAAATAATTCTTAATTATGAGCCATAAATATAAACAGCTATTTCATAAAATACAGTGATCGATGGTGGGAGGATCACACATGGAATTAGTAGGAGGAATATAAGTGATCATTCAGGCTACAGGAGTTGATAGAATTTGGAAGGCTCTGAGATAAGGAGATACCTGGTTTCTGCCTACAAGATTTCAGCAGCTCTGCAAAGATGAGATTTATAAATACTTTATAAATTAAAGAAATTAACTACAGCATTACTAACTGAAAGTGCCACCTACACTACTTGCACAGTTTTCTATTAATAGTGCTTGACGTATGAGCTGCCAAGGCCTTGGAATAAATTATTATGGGATGAGAGCTTGCAGAGATAAATTATTGCCTCTTCTACGCACATTACTTGTAGCAAGAAAATGCCATATTTGGAGTCAATCTTTTGTAGAGTCCAAATCTATGTACAGTTACAAAGACATAAGAGCTCAGATGTACAGCCTTATTAATGTTTTATAGAAACAGGGTGGAGAAGATAAAATGGATAATAATTTAAATGAGGAAGAGATGGTCCTTCTGTACTTCTTGCTTCTTTTTTGAGCTCACATCTACTTCTAAAAGTACAAGCAGGTATTCCTTGCTTTAAAAGAAAGTAATTATTCTATGGCATTATTTATTAAGAAGGGAATACATTTAGTATTAATTACATGAAAGATTATTGTTGAAATATGTTGAGGTCCACATTTAATAAATTCGGATATATTTCTGCAATGTAGGGTAAACGGAGGTTTAAGATCAGGATTATCTAGCAATAATTAATGTAATGATTATAACCCAAACTGGCAAATAACAAACCCACTGGGAATTGCTTAATCAAAAGGATTTCTTTCTTTCTTTCTTTTTTTTTTTTTTTTTGAGACAGACTATCACTCTGTTGCCCAGGCTGGAGTGCAGTGGCCCCATCTTGGCTCGCTGCAACCTCCACCTCCCACATTGAAGTGATTCTCCTGCCTCAGTCTCCTGCATAGTTCTAATTAAAGGCGTGTGCCATCGTGTCTGGCTAATTTTTTTTTACTTTTTTTTAGTAGAGATGGGGTTTCACCATGTTGGCCAGGGTAGTCTCGGACTCCTGGCCTCAAGTAATCTGCCTGCCTCAGCCTCTGAAAGTGCTGGGATTACAGATGTGAGCCACCACTCCTGGCCTAAAAGGACAATTTATGACTAGAGTAGAAAATAAGGGTAATTCATAGTTCATGAGGGCCTCATGTGGCCAGGACTCAGGAAAATAAGTGGAACTGCCGATATGATTGTCATCAGTGTTTTCTCTCCAATTATTACCTGGGCCTGTTCAGTCTTACTGATGACCAGCTTCCTCTGGGAGATGATAAAAGCTGCCTTTTGCTTTCAAGTTCAGACTCCTTTATTGTAGAGGGGTGTCATAATAGAGATTAAATGTCTAGAATCCTTGCTCAGGAACTATTTGGCCTATACCTCCCTAGTCTAACCTCAACAGGTTTCACATCCCTTCTACTGTGTCCAGATGGAGAGGTCTTACTGTTCTAATTTGACAGGAACTCACCATTTAAACCAGAACAAATTCGCAAAGCATTAGCTGTCTAAATAAGGTTCCTTCATCCATAAACTAAGAGTATTTGATGGCCCTGTGTGAAATAATAATATATATACATACATATTGGTCTCTGCCCCCAGTCCTTGGCACAGAGCTCCTAAAACTAAAAATTTTCTGAATGATAGACGTGCTAAGCAGGATCATTTTATCTAATGTTTGGTCTTTAACCCCCCAAATTCCTGCACAGAGCTTCTGAGTCCCTTGGAATTTCCTGGATAATAAGAGCATATCTTCTTCAAATGAAGCAAATCTTGGTGGGCTCTTGGATGGGGGTTTGTTACCAGAAAGACCAAGCCATGATGAGAAGCTTGGAGCTCCCCATTCTCTGGAGAGGGGAGAATGACTAGAAAAGTAGTTAATAATCAATCATGCCTATGTGATGAAGCCTCAAAAAAATCTTTGAAACATGGTGTTCAGAGAGTTTCTAGGTTGACAAAGACATCTGCATGACAGAAGAGTGACTCACCCCAATCACATGGGAACAGAAGCTCCTGTGTTTGGGACCCTTTCATACTGTACCCTATGTATTTCTTCATCTGACTATTCATCTGTAGCCTTTATTATATCCTTCTTTATTAAACTAGTAAACATTTCACTGAGTTCTGGGAGCCATCATGCCAAATCAGTCAAACTCAAGAAGATAGTTTTGAGAACTCCAATTTATAGCTGATAGGTCAAAAGTATAGGTGACAAATATCTCCATGTCAGAACTGAATTATAGGACACATAGCTGGTGTCTGCTGGAGACTCTGCTGTCAGAAGCATTGTGCTGAGTGGTGTGTGATAACAAGAAAAGTACTTTGCTCTTTATCTCTATAACCCCTAGTTATGACTTTACAGGATTCTTTAGCAGAAAAAAAAATTATGCATGTTTACTGAATACTTGTAATTTTTTGGTGCTAATCATATGAACTTCACTTCAATATTTAGAAAATGTCTTTCTTTATGGTTCTTGTTGGGACGCTAAACTCCTTCATGCACTATAGAAGTTAAAAAATTGCTAAATTCTTACAGTTAGAGTTTCCATACTACATATAATGTAGGTGGACCAATAAGGAGAATCCACCAAGGACTGTGCATCACAATGTAGAGTTATGAATAGAAACAGAGTAAACTCATTTTGGTGGTGGGCCATGGTAGCTAGCTGCTTCAGAATGAACTTATTCCAGCTAATGATGGCATCTGTGGCAGTATTCAGTATCTGTTATACTGTGTCTTCCCTGACCAGGTTTAATCATCCTAGTTATTACCATGGTTTTGGCTTCCACTTGTGTCAAAGCCTGACTCTTCTACCTTCCTAGTACCATCTTTTCAATGCCCTTCAATGGAAACATGTAAACTCAAAACATTTTTAGTAAATTTCTTTGCTGCTTAGGCGGAAAAGATTTTGATCCATTTGCATTGGTTTCTTTTGCTTACATATTAGAATTCTAGATATATATTGAGAAAGTGCTCATAAAATGTCATTTATTAATGTTGATTGTATGCCTTTTATTTATAGCCCTCAATCCACCAAACTAGAAAGACATTGAGAAAATAACAAGAAGATGATCTTAAGTCCATATTAAACTAACATCTAGATGCGTTTGTCAGGATTCGTTGAAAGCAGCACTAAAGATTTATGCATTTAACTGGATGTGCAGTTTACCTCAAAAACAACAATGACAAAATCACTGAAAATAAATATTGAACTCTAGTTAATAATATGCATG
The DNA here is from genome assembly GCF_000001405.40 of Homo sapiens. Lineage (NCBI taxonomy): Eukaryota > Metazoa > Chordata > Mammalia > Primates > Hominidae > Homo > Homo sapiens. The sequence goes on from NC_000003.12 coordinate 165,751,290, forward strand.
TTGAAGTATGTGTAAATGATACGGACAGGAGGCAGGGAAATACTGGGTAGAAGAGGGTGGACCCCAGCGAGGGCCACACCCTCAATCCTGGGACCAAGGCCCAAAGTGAGAGCATGAATTCTTGTTTTCCCACTTGAATGCTGTTTTTGGCCTGCCCTTCCCCCATCCTGTACCCATAAAAACTCCAGGCTCCACTGGCAGAGTGGTGGAGTGGCAGAGAAGAAGAGAAGAGAAAAAGCAGCCAGATGTCAGAGAGAAGCAGCTTGACTTCAGGGGGACAGCTTGACGGCAGGAATTTGGGGAAGAGTTTGGTGGGGGATGGCCAAACTGCAGGGGGAGACCACTTTCCCGCTCCATTCCCTTTCCAGCTCTCCATCCCAGTGAGAGCCACTTTTATGAGCAATAAAATCTCCTGCATTCACCATCTTCAATTCATTTGTGCAATCTGATTCTTCCTGAACGCTGAACAAGAGCTCCGAATACAGAGAGCTGTCACACTGAGCTGTTAAACACTTAACCTTCCGCAGACAGCAAAGCTAAGAGAGTGCACTATAACACTCCCTCCAAGGCATCAGGCAACACTAGATGTTACCGCAGGGCCGGCAAGGGGTTCCTTCCTGCCAGTGCCCAAAGGCACTCACCCCAGCTGCTGTACCCTTTCACCTCCGTGCTTGCCCTCCTGTGAGGGGCTGAGAGCTGTGGGCTGAGTAAATGAGCCACCCTGTTCACAAGTCCTATGAAGGGGTCAGGGGAACTCTCTCATTTCAAAAATACATAGACTGACGTCTGTACATTTCTTTGAAATGCATCAAAAATAAAATAAATCGTTCCCTAGAGGCATGTTCAGATACATCAAGATGAAGCTATATCTGATAAAAGTAAATATATTAAATGTTAATTACACAGTTGACAGTGTATATATGAATTTTTGGTGTAAAATTATTTCAACATTTCTATATGAAAATTATTCTAATGAAATGTTAGAAAACCTGAACACCTTTTTAATCAGCACAATTTAACATGAAGAATGCATTCTCAGTGATTATTTCTATGCACTTGAGAATTTAGAAAAATCTATTCTACTAGTTTCATGATAGTATTTTACATTGCTTTAAATTAATTTAACTTCAAATATCTAGTTCAATGTATACCTTGATAATTGTTTTAGTAGGTAATAAATGTGCCTTTCAGTTTTTTTATTTCACTGTGAATAGGTAGGTATTTTAAAATACAGAGGAGCAAAATTCTGAAATATAAATTATCTGTGTACTCACTACACTGAGATATTTAGGATAAATTTTTACAGATTTGTTTTAATAAATGCCCTTTTAAAAGTTGAAGAGACTAAAGCAAATATATGGGAAGCATTTATTATCTTTGTCATTTAATTGATTTGGCCAGAAACTTTGCTTCTTAACATACAAATTTATCATTTTTCATCTGAACTTTATTGTGACAAATATTTGTTTTTATCCTTCATATTTCTCATTGACCTATTCCATGGGTATTTTGTGTTCTATTGATTTTCTCAGCTGGTAGAATATTGCACATGCAGTTTATAATATAGTATTATTGGATTGTACTGTCTCCATAGCCTAGAGATTGAAATGTTTATTAAGTACTATTGGATAAGTACCACTATGAATAGTGCCAGAAAAAAAACATAAAGAGAAAGAAAACTTACTTTAAAACATGTTAAATAGGTCATTTTGTTGGACAGCTGAGATAGGTCACTTCTCTGAGCCCCAGTTTTCTAACTTTAACAGCTTTAAGAGGCTTAAAATAAAATACTTGTAGCACCTCATCTGGCACGTGCTCAGCAAATCTAAGTGGCAGTTGCTGTTGTATATTATTTTTAATTTATACATTGTTAGGATATTGGCAGACAAAAATGTACAAGAAAAGCCTTTAAAATAAGTTTTAACATTTTCTCATAAATATTTTTACATTTATATTTTTATTAAGTGGCTTTTCATTGATAATGTAATATTGGTATTTTCAGCTCAGACAAGTTCTGACTCAAAAAGAATTTTTGTTGAGTCTCGGTTAATAAAAATTTTGTTACTTAATCTAAATTAATAAAACTCACCTAATGTTTTGGATTGTTTGGTAAGACATCATTCTTTTACCTCTTTACTGGGCTAGTGATTCTGGTAATCCAATTGTGTGTAACAAGTCATTAATGAAAGCAAAGGCTATGTTCCTCAAATTATAGAATTTTTTTTTAGTTTCTTTTCAAACTAAAAGTTTTCCTTTTGTCACATAACAGCCATTACTAATCTATTCTGATATTTGTAAAATCCTCACTTTCTATCAGTTTTTTTCAATCACAAAGAACAAATTATATATTAATTTTGCTGTCCTTCTTATCTAATGGAATTTCCCTTCCAATTCACTTTATGTGAGTCATCTGACATGTGGCAAGTACCAGTCTCACAGATGGATCAGTAGTGGCAATCAAACAATTGCTGAGTTTTGCAACACAGGTGCTTGGATTGGCTTTGCTTGCCTGCCAGCAATATACAGATTTTTGGCAGACTCCTATAGTTGTAAAAAGAATCAGAGGGAGAGCACATACTCATTTAGTTGGCACTCATCCTTCTCTGAAATAGGTCCCACAGTTGAGCCAAATCCACTGCTATCATTGCCTCTTAGTTTTTGAATTACTATTAGATTCTTGACCCATATCTGCAAGTTGAGAAAAAACAGTGTGGTTTAATTACAAATATATAAATTTAGAATGGAAATAGTTGTGTTCTTTTATACAATATCTACTACTAGCAAAGTAGTGGGAACTGAGAAAAGTTGAAGATAGTACTTTAACTTCTTCAACCAAAATGAAATGTTTTACAACAAAAATAGAAAGATACTTATAAAAGATTTGCTTTGAGAAAAGTCATATTTTTGCTAGTAGTTTTCAAATCATACCTTTGGTTTTCCAACTATACCTTTGACCTTTCTGCTTGAAGATGTATCTAGGAAGAGTGGTTACTATTCTTATATGTGGTGGAACTGAAAATACTGTTTGTGAGCTATTTTTCAGCATTAGTCCATACAAAAGTTTGCTTGTATGAAACTAGCTGAGCTAGTTTCCGGAAATTTTTATATGAATTAAATACTGACTCACTCTTCATACCTTCTATTAGAATGTATAGATAAAGTGGAAGACTACTCCTAGAGAGAAGCAATTGTGCCTGGTAAGTGTCATGGAAAGCTGCAGAAAGAAACTGATACATGCTTACTATACAGGATGTGTAATATTTCATTAGGAAAGTATGCAGATGTTAGTAATTCAAAGGAAAACAAAATAGCAGTTGGTTTTAGAAGATAAGATTTATGTATCTTTATTGGGATTAACTAGGTAGGTGGTTGGAGAGAGATTCTGGATCAAAATTGAAGATCTAATAATTTATCCTAAGAAGTATGAGTTTTATTTTAATATAAGCAATGCAAATTATAAGCATGTCCAGAACAGAACACTTGAATTACACACTCAGCTCACAGATTTGTTCCACTTCCTGAAATTCCCCATCTCAGCTTCCCTATCTCATCTCACCACAATATCCACCACAATATGCAGTTAATCAAACCAAAAATCTTAGCAATTCCCAAGAACTCATTTCCTTCACACTCCATATTTAATACATTAAAAATTTTGATGATTTCACCTTCAAAGTATATTTTATTTCTCTTATCTGAAACTTAACTACTACTATTCTCTTTCAAGCCACAATTATTTCAGCCCAAGTCATTTCCTATATGGACTATTTCAATAGCCTTTTTATTGGTCTCCCTGTTTCTGCTAGGGCTACCTTTCCCAAGAATCTATTTGTCACATAGAGTCACAGTGATCTTTTTGAATCTATGTCAGATCATGTTATTACCATGCTCATTATCCTTCCAATATCTCTCCACTGAACTTAAAATAACAAGACCTAATGCTCTTATAAGACCCTACATGATTCAACTTCATCTCCTATGGATTTTCTATTTTTTCTAAATTCCAATTTTTTCTTAAAACACAATAAGCTTATTTTTGTCTTGGTGTTTTTGCACTAGCCTAGAAGGCTCTTCCTCAGATTTTTGCATGACAGTCTCATTATTGGCATCTTCATCTCAGATTTAAGTGTTATTGACTCCTGACCACTCAACCTAAGGATGTCCTCTAGGCATATGCTATCACAGTGCCTTTCTAAGTAAGCTCTTTCTGAGTGCTGCAGTCGGAAATGGAAATAAGAAATGTGGGCCAGAATGTAAAACAAGACACCACTTTCTTTACTGAGAAAGACTTACTGTATAAAAAAAAGGCAAATATAATATCTTTTGTGTAACAGTCATACTTCCTTTATTCAAAAAATACAGAAGCCTCTATGGTGAAAATTCTACAGAGAGATACATCTATCTTGATCAGAAAACAGATCTGAGAATCTGATAAAGAACCTGACTGGGCATGTTATTCTGGTTTTTTTGCTCTTTGTTATTACTTCCCCTTATATGTTAATGGAAAAAAGAAAGGAATCCATGCGAGTAGCATGAAGGTTAAAGGAATTCTGTCTGGGTGTGGTTATGACACCAAAATTTTGGTGCCTCTTATTGAAGTGGGGAAATGACATGGGCTTTAGGCAGGTCCTCATGCTTATTTTGTTTACATTCCAACAACCTAGGGTATATATAGATTCAGATATTGATGGAAGAAAACCATAGTTATCATGTTAACATTCCATTATGTAAATTGAAGACTATAAATTGTATTTGTATTTAAGGGTCTTATTGATTATTTTTCTTTCTTGTGAAAGAACCAATGCCTTGGTTGAGATCCCAGAGTTCTGTACCACAGAGCATGGAAGAGGCGTATTTCCCTGGAAATGTTACCAATTATTGGGGAACTTTAGTGAAACCCTTGCCAAATGTATAATTTTAAGTACCTCTGTCTTCGTGGGTCCTTCAGGATTAGTTAGCAGTAAAGTGCTATTCCAAGTATTTGAAGGCATTAAACATGTTGGAAGGAAATATTTAGCATTATCTATTAAAATGCTGAAAAACACCTGCCAAAAGGAACAGTATGGATATTCAGTTGTTATTGTAATTTTTCCCCTGAGAAAAATTAAACAGGTTTGGCAGCCATTTTAAAGTTAAAATTCATTATTTGTTTTGAATAGGTAATATATACACATGCTACAAAGTATAAAAGGCACGAGAACATGAGAAATCATTCTCAGTCTTATATCTGTATCACGGCCATCCTGTTCGCTACCCACAGGTATTTGTCGTTATGTTATACTTTTTAAATGTGTGCCTCTAGAGATAATCTATTCATTTTCAAGCATATATGTCATGCATATTGTTTTTTTAAATAGAAATCGTAATACATATATAATACTATGTACATTGATTTGTTCTAACTTAAGAAAAATCATGAAGTTTTTTTTCATATTAGCACATAAAGAGTTACCTCATCTAACTGCTGTATGATACTTCATTTTATGAGTAAATCAAATTAACTTGAATTCCTTTTTTTACTGGTAGACACTTAGGTTGTTTTCTAATCTTTTTCTAATAAAGTAGAGTTTTTTAAAGCTTAGTAGAGTTTCTAAAATATATGTACTACTCTAACACTTTTTTCCCGTTGAGAAATAGTGCTCTTTTTTAACTTACAAACAAAAGTTTCATTTAATACACTTTTTTCTTTAATTACATCTTTATTTTATTTTTTTTTTGTCCTGCAATTTCGGTTTTCAGATTTTAGTGTGCGGATTTTATTGGATTTTCTTTAAAAATCTTTCTTACATGTTTTATCTGTTTTTTAAAAAAACTTTTTTCCTTTTATTTTATTTAGTTTACTTTTCAGTCCTGTTGTATTTTCATTCTATTTTTATTCATGATTGTTCTAACTTGTGTTGCCCCTAATGTTGACTTCACAACTGAGAGATTATTTTTTTTCTTCTGCGTCTTTCCTGTGTTCTGCTAACTCATGCATTGTCACTGGAATCTACTACCTCTTTCCTGAATTCTTATTTCTGGGCTTTGAATTGCTGATTTATGTCACTTCTTGTTGCATTATTATTTTCTTATTGAATAACAACATATTTGGTCACAATTTATATCTGCTCCTTTAGACCATTCTTCTTTTTCTACTGTGTGTTTTTTTGTGTTCATCATTTATTTTCCTTTTTCACCCCAGTATTTTCCTGTACATCTTTTGCCAGTTTCCAAATTTGTGTTGAGTTCTATGACCAACATTTTACAGAAACATTGTGTGAGACAGAAAATTTTAGGGTATTATTAAATTAAGGCATCATTTCCTAACTTTACTATTGAAATAAATTATTATATTCACAATACACTTTTATATTTAGGTATACATCTTAAAATCTCTTAGCTTAGTGGGCCCGCTTGTTCAACTTGACCTTCATCAACCAATGCTATCTTAAGATAATAAAAAGAAGAGGCATTGAATACATTAGAGAAAAAAGAATTGATTTATTCCAACTCAGGGTTAGAACTATGCCTCTTAACTCTTAATTAAAAAATACTTCAATGAATAATAAAGACAATCCTTAAATGCTACTGAACGTATAAGCATGTTATAATAAAATATGTCAGAGTTATTCTGTCTATTACAAAGAAATAAAATCCTTGCTAGAAGTACTAGTTGAATTGAAAACTGGGGTAATGTGATTCAGTAAAAATAGTTTTAGAATTCTTGTAACTATTATGTGATTATGCTAACATGTATTTTTGGATGCCTCTTTTAATAGAACAATTAATACCAGTATTATGATTACCTGTTTATACCAATGTAGCCACATTACTTACTTTTTTGTGGGGGGTATTGCCCTTTGAGATTCTGATGTAAGACCTCTGACACATTGACTTACCTAAACTTTTTGAGGATATACAGGTTATATTACTTTTTCCAAGATAGGAATTTCTGCACCAAGTCACACAATCTCAACCTATGTCACTTCAGATTTTTAAGATTTAAAAAATCTATACCACTGCAGTCAGAAGCTTTTGGAATCTACCATTTAAACTAATAATTTTCCTGTTACTGAAAAGGGAGTTAGGCAAAGAGCAAACAGACCCTGACGGTGATCCCAACGACCACGTTCATTCGAGGCTGAAATAAAATGAAGTAAAATAAAAAAAAAAAAAAAACACAATGAAAACCAAAATGAAATGTAGCATCGCTAAGGCAATTTTCTGTCTCTCTGACCTATTTTGAGAAAGAACCCTCTAGAATCCATATAAATATCTCCTCTGTGGGAGGGCACTCCACTGGAATTTCCTTTAAACACTACAAGATATTGGATTTCCACATTGATAAATTAGTCATATTAAATATAATCTTTCTCTTCTTCCTTTGCTTGTGCCTGGAGTGTTTGACCAAGAAGCCCCAATAATTTTTGCCAAAACTCATCTCAACCTTTATAATAGCGTGTTAGCATAGGCCTATGAAAAAATCCTTTATTTAAAAGGAATGAATATAACCAAAGATAACCTACTTGTGAAATTCTTTTACTATAGAAGTATTTGGATTTTTAAAAAAATATTTATTAATATATAAGAATTTATTTTCAAATAATTAATGGAATATTTCTGCATTTATAAAACTGTAACAGTGAATTGTAAGGAAAGATTAAGTTGAAATAAGAAAGCCTATATAAAATGCAAAATAAAAATTGTTAAAGTAAAGTAAAATAATGATGGTAGTAATAATGATAGGGACGGAAGGCAGAGAAATTCTAGGCAGAAAAGTGCTGAGTCCCTGGCAAAGCCCCATCCTCAAGCCTGGGACCCTGTGACTCAAATTGAGAATATGCATTCTTGTTTTCATGCTGGAATGCAGCCATTTTTAAAACCACCCATAGCCCGCCCTACTTCCCCCATCCTGTACCCATAAAAACCCCTGACCCAACTGGGTTCAGAACAGAGATGGGGAGAAGGGGAGAAGCAGCTGGACGTCCGAGACTGTGGTTTGACTTCAGAGAGAAGCAGCATGACTTCAGAAGAACAGCTTGATGCCATTGCTTTCAATTTTATGCCATAAAATTGAGTCTCAGTCCTGGAGTGCCAGGTCTGCTCAATCCAGATTTGCACACAATCTCTAGGTAATCTCTTTCAGTCCTATGGCTTTATATACCATCTTTGTATTGGAGACTCCCTGATTTCTATCACTAATACAGACATCTCCCCTCAACTCCACTCTCATTAAACAAAGTGATATTATAGATATCTAATAAGAAACTGCAAGTTAACATGACCTGAAACAAATTCTTGTTGTTTCTCTATTTAAACCTGCTGAACTGATGGTTTTCTCAGTCTTAGAAAGTAGTCACTCTATTCAGCAAGTTATTTAGGCAGAAAATCTTATTGGCTGTCTATTCCTTTGTCTTTTGGCAAATCCTATTAGCTGTTGGTTAGAAATGTAAATATAATACCTGCCATTTCTCAAAGCTATGACCTTCGTTAGGCCACACCATCCTCTCTTGTCTAGAATAGTTAAATAGCTTCCTCCAATCACACACTTACCCTGCTAGTCTCCAAGGAGCCAGAGTGACCCTTCTGAAGTCACATATAATTCTGATCCTGTTGCTCATCTGCTCAAAGCCCTGTAATGGCTTCCTATCTGCCCCCTCCCCACTTCCTATCCTCATCTCCTACCAGCGTCCCTTGTTTTCTCCAGCAGTATGCCTCCTTGCAATTCTCTAAACACGATATATGAGGAGAAGCCTCCCTAGAGCCTTCTCATTTATTTCTTCTGTTGGAACTGATATACCCCAAGTTATTTGCACAGTTTGCGGCCTCCTTTCCTTCAGGTTTGGCTGACATATCATCCGCTATCAAACAGACTTTGCCCGATTGTACATCTTTATTTTCTTACTCTGCTATATTTTATTCATGGCCCTCACATTATGCAATTTTACTGTTTCTTGTTTATTGTTTCATTGTGTACCCTATACCAGTAGAATGTGAATTCCATGAGAAGATTTTTCTGCTTTGAACACTGTCATATCACAAGTGCCTAAAACTGTACATGGACAATAATAATAATAGCTGCTAAATTGTAAATAAAAATGTGTGTGTGGGTATATATATATATATATACACATATATATATATACATATATATATCTCCCAGTATATCCTGAGAAATATTTTGATATGTATATATAATATATATGTATGCAGTTTTACAAAATATAAACATTCATTAATACATGCATGTGGGAATATATCATAAAAATAGAGGTTATCTCTAATCAGTATAATTCCATTTTTTCATATTTCTAAGATTTTTTTAATGAACACATATTTTTAAAATAAGGACATATCTTAGTAACATTTTCTACAGATAAATGAAAAAGAAAAATAGAGGATAATTAATTGGAACATGAATATACAACCCTCAAATTGTTTTGAAGATAGAGGACCTGGGATACCTGTCCTCTTATATGGTACCAAGGAGTCCTTCTCTAAGGCTTCTTTTAAAATCTGTTCAGTAGAAGCACCCTAAATGGAAAAATGTCTCAAAAGATTCCACCATTGAATATCTTTAGATGGGATCCAAGCTAGACTTATTTTACTGAAATTGACACCTTATGCATTGCAGTGATAATAGTGATATGATCCATCAAATACTTTTCATTAGGAGTTTAGCATATAATAGTTTGAGTTTTTCTCCTTTCAAGGGATAGTGGCGGTTAAAAAAGAGGTTGAACAAATAGTTATAAAAGGTACTAGACAAAGTTAGAAAAGTTAGAATGTTTTTCAGGCAATGAAGAATGCATGCAAAATGGTAGAATTTTATATATCAGTGCGAACTGCTAATCAAGAACCTTAGATTATTTGGAATTTGAGGCTTTCCTTGGTCACCTTCAATCCACTATAAGTAGATGGCTACCTCTCTAACTGGCTGTTACACTATGAACTGGGAGGAAGGGAAGGGTACTAACTTCCTGTCTTTGAGAGCTTACAAAATCTGAAAAGACAGAAGGAATAGTGTTCTGTTAGAATTCTCATTTAATATTTTGCACATGACTTCAAAGAGACAACTCCAAGGGAGATTATTAAAATTTTATCTTTCATGGTTATGTGAAAATGTTAATTCACTTACCAAAGAGAATATTATGCACACATTTAGTTTAATATTGAAATGCCACAGAAGATGTTAGCATTTGAGATTTTCATTCATTTATTACCTTGCACAAAGATAGTAACTTCAAAATTATCATATTACAATGTTGTAAAACAAAGATAGCACATTTCAACAAAAGAAAACCAGGGAGATGTCTTTAAGAGCAATGGGAGAGGAAGCACCCTCTAGGACTAGAAATGTTGCTTTGTATCTGAGACTATAAACTAAAGACAAATTCCTATTGATGTGTTGAAAAACAAGAGCAAAACCAAGTTTTATGCATCCTGAAACTCAGACTCTTTAGGGAACCCACTCTAAGAAAAATAATATAAACTTACAAATATATAATTATACACAGTGCCTTTGAAGGGGGTCTTTGCAAGTCAGTATCTCTAAAACGTGTCATTTTAGCTTCCTGATAACTCTTTTTCTGGCAGAATGTTATTTTCCAGGGCCGGTTCCCAAAGGCCTAAGATATAATGAAAATTTGCATTACAGATGTAAGTGTAATCCTTTAAATCACCAGTGACTTTTAGACCAGGACTCAAGCTCTCTAGTTATTCCTTTGCATTAATGGAAAAAGAAAGAAAAGAAACCCTTTATACAAAATAAAGTAATTAATTTGTTCAGAGTCATTCTGTCAGGAAAACAGTATAACCATGAAAACTTAAATTTGATATAGAAGGGAAGAAGAAGGAAAAAAAACTCTGACAACATTAATAAATACTAAAAATGCAAATGCCAACAACTTGAGATTAACATGGGTATGCAAATTACTATCTGCCTGGGGTCTAAAAGATATTAGCAAAAGATTACACAAAAAGTAGGTATTCAAGACTTCTTATAAATTCAGGTTCTGCTACTCACTTCATTAGATTGTCAAGGGAATCACTGTTTCTAAAGGAATTCTGCTGTAGGCACATATTTTTATTCTCCTGATATGGTAATAGAAAATCGGTAAAATTTAGAATGTGCCCTAGGCACTTTAAGAAGTGTTGGATTTTGGTTACTGTCAAAGTAAAAAATGCACCAGATAAAGTTTAAACAGACAAGGAAGACTTTATTTAAGACTATTTCAATAGGGGAGTAAGACTGAACTTAACTTTATTGAAACAAAAAAACATGGTTTTTAAGTGCTGAGGTGAGCTAGTGGGAAAGTACTAGAGGGCATTAGAAGAGGGTTAATCAGTGGGATGTGCAGAGCACATTGAGTAATTCCCCAGTTTGCGAATGTTTTTCACAGTGATTGGACCATCTGTGTTTGGAAATTGGTGCCCATTGAAGTTAGGTTTTTGCCTTCATACTTACATTGGGAGAATGGAAACACTATCTCTTTTGATGTTAACATATTAAAGTGATTATTTCCCCAGTCCTTGAGAAAACCATAATATCCTGGATTATAAAACTGGTAAGAGGCTGGAAGAAGATTTCTTTATGTTTCAAAGGGGCAGATACAAAAAATTGCAAGTTTTCTACAGCAACTAACTGCTTTAAGAAAAGAGAAGTCAAGGCCTATGGCCAGGGGAAAACCCTGATATCGCTGGATATCCAGAGTTTAGTATGGTTACTAAAGCACTGTAGCTTGCTTTGGGAAGTCAGGTAATATGATTCCTCCAGTTTTGATCCTTTTTGTTAGGATAGTTTTTGTTATTCTGGGTGTTTTGTGGCTCCACAAAATTTGGGGGTTCTTTATTCTATTTATGTGAAGAATGTCATTGGTATTTTGATAAGGATTGCATTGAATCTGTAGATTGCTTTGGATATTATGGACATTTTAACAATACTGATGCTTCTAATCCATGAACATGGAATATTTTTCCATTTTTGTATCTCCTTTAATTTATTTCATCAGTGTTTTATAGTTTTTGTTATTGAGATCTTTCACGGATTTGGTTATGTTACTTCCTAGGTATTTAATATTATTTGTGGCTATTGAAAATGCGATTACTTTTTAATTTTTTTTCAGATTGTTCACTGTTGGCATGTAGAAATGCTACTGATTTTTGTATGAAAATTTTGTGTTTTGCAATTTTATGTAATTGAGATATGTTCTTCCTAAACCCTATTTTTGAGGATTTTTATCATGAAGGGATGCTAAACTTTATCAAATGGTTTTTCAGTATCAATTCAAATGATGATACTGATTTTGTATTTTATTCTATTCATATGATGTATCACACTTATTTATTTGTGTATTTTAAACCATCCTTGCATCTCAGGAATAAATCCCACTTGGGAATTACAAGTAGTTTATTTAATGTATTGTTGGTTTTGGTTTGCTAGTATTTTATTGAGGATTTTTGCATCAATATTCATCAGAGATATTGGCCTGAAGTCAGTCTTTCTTTCTTTCTTTCTTTCTTCCTTCCTTTCTTTCTTTCTTTTTTCTTTTTCTTTCTTTTTTGATTTTTTTTGTTTGTTTGTTGTTTTGTCTGGTTTTGGTATCACGGTATTACTGGCCTTATTGAATAAGATTGAAGTATTCTACCTTCTTTTTTTTTTAGAATGGTTTGTGTAAGATTGCTATTATTTCTCCTTTAAATGTTTGGTAGAATTCAGCAGTGAAGCTGTCAGTTCCTGGGCTTTTCTTTCTTGGGATAGTTTTTATTGTGGCTTCAACCCCATTACTTGTTATTGGTCAGGTTTCGGATTACTTCACAGTTCGATCTTGGTAAGTTATATGTGTCTAGGGATTTGTCTATTTCATCTAAATTTTCCAATTTATTGGTGTATAATTGCTCAAAGTAGCCACTAATGATCCTTTGAAATTCTTCAGTATCAGTTTTAATGTCTCATTTTTCATCTCAGATTTTATTTATTTGTATCTTCCCTCTTTTTTTCTAACTTAGTCTGGCTATAGCTATGTCAATTTTGTTTATAATTTTCAAAAAAATCAACTTTTTGTTTCATTAGTCTTTTGTACTGTTTTCATTTCAATTTTATTCATTTCTGCTCTGATCTTTATGATTTATTTTCTTGTATTAATTTGGGGTTTGGTTTGCTCTTGCTTTTCTAGTTCTTTAAGATGCATTGTTAAGTTGTTTATTTGAAGCTTTTCTTTTTGATGTAGGCACTTATAGCTACAAACTTTCCTCTTAGTACTGCTTTCACTGCATCCCATAGATTTTGGTATGTCATGTTTCCATTATCAAATTTTTCAATTTTCTTTTTAATTTCTTCATTGATCCACTGGTCCTTGAGGAGCACATTACTTAATTTCCTTGTATTTATAGTTTCCAAAACTCCTCTTGTTATTGATTTCTAGTTTTATTTCATTGTGGTCAAAGATGCTTGATATTACTTCAATTTGTTGAATGTTTTAAGACTTGTTTTATGATATAACATAAGGTCTTTCATTGGGAGTAATCCATGTGCTGAGGAAAAGAATGTGTATTCTGCAGCTCTTGGATGAAATGTTCCGTAAATGTGTATTATGTCCATTTGGCCTATAGTGCACATTAAGCCCAATGTTTCTTCGCTGATTTTCTGTCTGAAAGATCTGTTCAGTATTGAAGGTAGGGTGTTGAAGTCTTCAACCATTATTGTATGTGAGTCTCTCTCTCGCTTTAGCTCTAATCATATTTGCTTTATATATCAGGGTGCTCCTATGTTGGGTGCATAGAAAGTTGCATTTGTTATATCCTCTTGCTGAATTGACCTCTTTATAATTATATATTGACTTTGTCTTTTCTTATATTTTGCTCTTCAAATCTATTTTATCTGATATAAGTGTAGTGACTCATGCTCTCTTTTGGTTTCCATTGGCATGAAATATGTTATTCCAATCCTTTATTTTCCATTTATTTTTGTGTTTTAAGTAAAGTGTGTTTCTTGTAGGCAGCAGCTCAATGAGTCTTGTTTTCTTTTATCCATCCAGCCAGTGTATGTCTCTTGAATGGAGAGTTTAATCCATTTGCATTCAATGTTATTAAAGATAAGTAAAAACTTATTCTTGTTACTTTATTTTTTTTCTTGTGGTCTTCTCTTTTTTCTTTATTTTTCTCCAGGCTTCTTTTTTATGAAGGTGATTTTCTGTGGTGATATGATTTAGTTTCTTGCTTTTTATTTTTTATGAGTCCATTGTATGTTTTCTGGTTTGAGTTTACCATAAGGATTGTGAATACTATTTTATAATCCACTATTTTAAGCTGATAACAATTTAACACTGTATGCATAAACAAACAAGTAAAAAGAAAACTAATGAAAGCTCTATGCCTTAATTTTGTCCCCACACTTTGTAACTTTTTGTTGTTTCTATTTATATCTTATTGCTCTATGTTTGAGAAGTTTTGTAGTTATTTTTATTGGATCATTGTTTAGACTTTCTACTTAGAATAAGAATAGTTTACACACAACAGTTACGTTGTTATAGTATTTTGTGTTTTTCTATGTACTCACTATTACCAGTAAGTTTTGTACCTCCAGGTGATTACTTATTGTTCATTAAAGTCTTTTTCTTTCTGGTTGAAGTACTCCCTTTAGCATTTCTTATAGGACACATCTGCTGTTGGTGAAATCCCTTGGCTTTTTGTTGTTGTTGTTGTTGTTTGAGGAAGTCTATTTCTCCTTCACGTTTGAAGGATATTTTTGTCAGATATGCTATTTTAGGCTAAAACTTCTTTTTTTTTCCTTCAGCACTTTATGTCATGCCACTCTCTACCGGTCTGTAAGGTATCTACTGAAAAGTCTGCTGCCAGATGTATTGGAGCTCCAATATAAGGTTTTTTTTTGGGGGGGGGGGGGGCTGCTTTTTTATCCTTTCTTTATCCTTGGCCTTCGGAAGTTTGATTATTAAATGCCTTGAGGTAGACTTCTTTGGGTTAAATCTGCTTGGTGTTCTAAAGTCTTCTTGTACTTGGATTTTGCTATCTTTTTCTAGGTTTGGGAAGTTCTCTGTTATTATCCCTTTGAATAAACTTTCTGCTTCTATCTCTTTCTTTAGTTTCTCTTTAAGGACAATAAGTCTTAGATTTGCCCCTTTGAGGCTATTTTCTAGGTTCTGTAGGCATGGTTTATTGCTTTCTTCTTTTTCCTTTTGTTTCCTCTGACTGTGTATTTTAAAATAATCTGTCTTTAAGCTCACTAATTTCTTGTTCTGCTATTAAAAGACTCTGGTGTATTTTTTTTTTTTTTTTGGACAGAGTCTCACTCTGTTGCCTAGGCTGGAGTGCGGTGGCACGAACTCGGCTCATTGCAACCTGTGCCACCCGGGTTCAAGCGATTCTCCTGCCTCAGCCTCCTCAGTAGCTGGGATTACAGGTGCCTGCCACTGCACCCAGCTAATTTTTGTATTTTTAGTAGAGATGAGGTTTCACTGCCTTGGCCAGGCTGGTCTTGAACTCCTGAACTCGTGATCCACCCACCTCGGCTTCCCAAAGTACTGGGATTACAGGCGTGAGCCACCATGCCCAGCCAACTCTGATGCATTTTCAATATGCCACCTGCATTTTTTAGCTCCAGAATTTCTGCTTGGTTCTTTTTAATCATTTCAATCTCCTTGTTAAATTTATCTGATAGAATTCTGAGTTCCTTCTCCGTATTATCTTGAATTTCTTTGAGTTTCTTCAACAAAGCTATTTTGAATTCTCTGTCTGAAATGTCACATATCTCTGTTTCTTTGGGAGTAGTTCCTGCTGCCTCATTTAACTCATTTGGTGATGTCATGTTGTCCTGGATTATTTTGATACTTGAGATGTTCAATTGTGTCTGCACTGAAGACTTGAATATTTATTGTAATCTTTGCAGTCTAGGCTTATTTGTACCTGTTTGTCATGAGAAGCCTTTCCAGATATTTGAAATTACTTAGGTGGTGTGATCTAAGCTGTATTTGCTTTAGAGTGCACCCCAAGCTCAGCAACATTGTGGTTCTTATAGACCCATAGCATACCACATTAATGGTCTTGGACAAGATCCTGGAGGAATATCTGGATTACCAGGAAAAGCGTCACATTCTCTTTCCTTACTTTCTCCCAAACAAACAGAATTTTTCCTCTCTGTTCTGAGACCCTGATGCTAGGGGTGGAGTGACACACCCCTGTGGCCACCACCACTATGACAGCACTGGGTCAAACCTGAATCCCGCACACTACTGGATCTTACCCAAGGCCTGCTGTAATCACTCCCTGGCAACTGCCTATGTTCACTCAAGGCCCTGGACCTCCACAAGAACTATTCAGGTCTGTGTTTTTCCTTTTAGAGTGGCAAGCTTTCCCGGGCCCTGGGCAAGTCCAGAGGAGTTGTTCAGGAGACAAGGACTAGAGTCAAAAACCTTAGAACTTGACCACTTGTTCTACTGTATTGTGGATGAGCTTGCACTCAAACCACAAGAGAGAGTTTATTTTCACTTCTTCCTTCAATTTACGAGGCAGAGGAGCCTGAACCTGTGGCCATTGCCACCATAGGACTATGGGGACTATTGCTGATGTTCCTTTAAGGCCCAAAGTGTTCTTCAGTCAGCTTGTGCTGAGTTCCGCCTCATCTAGCATTCACTTTTTAGGGCAGTAGGCTCCCCTCTAACAGAAGGCAGGTCCAGCATCACCATCTGAGAGCCAAGGCTTAGAATCAGGTACTCCAAGAGCCTTCTTGGTGCTTTATTCCCCCGTGGCTGAGCTGGTACCTAAGGTGCAAGACAAAAATCCCCTTTACGTTTACCTATGCTTTTCTCAAACATAAGTAGGCTCTCTCCATAGCCACCACAACTGGGAATGTGCTGAGTCTCATTTGAAGCCAGCAAGTCTCAGAGTCTCACCCAAGGCCCTCGACATAGTACCTGGGTATTGCTGCTGGTTATTCAGTGCCCAAGGACTTTTCAGTTATCAGGTGATGTATACCACCAGGACTTGGTCCTTCCCTTCAAGGCAGCAGGTTCTCTTCTGGCTCAGGGTGTGTCTGGAACTGTTGTCCAGAAGATAGGCCCTGGAAAGGCAGCCTTATGACTCTGACCTATGCCCTATCCTGCTGTGACTGAGCTGGTATTCAAGATGAAAGACAAAGTCCTCCCTATTCTTGCCTCTCCTCTCCTTAAGCAGAAGGAGAGGGTATCTTTTGGAGCTATAAACTGTGCAGCCTGAGGTTAGGGGAGAGGTGATGCTAGCTTGCTAGCTCTCCTTTAGCTCCTCTCCCAACCCCCAAGCAACCAAGTTCACTGTCTCTTGACCCAGTTCAGTACTAGAACTTTCCTAGGAGTTGCACTTCTTGTGGCCTAAACTGCCTTTCAAGTTTATTTGAGGCATGAGAGCTCTTTAGCTTGTGATGGTGAGGCTTGCAGGAACTCAAATTCTGACTATTGGAATCAGCAAGTCTCCTCTGGCTAGGGCTTGTTTGCTCCCTCTGTGGACAGGCATCAGATATATTTTAACTGCTTTTCCTTTCTGCTATAACAGAACAGCACTGAGTTCAATGCCTCACAATTGCTACACTCTCCCTCCCGCAGTGCACAGAAATGTTCCCCACACCACATCACAGCTGCTAAGGAGTGGGGGAGGGGTGGTGTCTCCATTCAAGCCTGTTTTTTCTACTTCTTCAGAGTCTTTATTAGTTATACAAAACTAACGCCAGGTACTGTGAGAACTCACCTCATTTTTGGTTCTCATGAACTTGCTTTTGTTGTGTAGACGGTTGTTAAATTGGTGTCTTTGTGGGGGCGGGGGACTATCCTGTAGTAGCTTCTGTTCTGCCATCTTGCTCTGCCTCCTCTTTCTACTGCAAACTCTAATGGCGTGATTTTTAACCAGATGAAAGACAGGTCAAGATAAGTTAACCTCATTGAATCTGGGGACTAATGGCTAACTGTAGAGGAAAATTTCTCACTCACTCTCTCACTTTTCAAAAAATTCTGAATTACAGATATTGTTTACTTTTGGATATACTATTAAATTTCAGTGTGGCTATATAGATATTTTTATTATTTCTTCCTCCATTAAAACAGTAATGCCTTCCTATTTTTGTTGATAATATTTTTTACTCAATTACTGACAATGTAATATAATTTTTATTCAATTAATTTATAAATAGAAATGTTTTCCAGTTACAGCTGCAGTTGAAAATGACCAATCAAAAATGACAACTGGCCCTAATATATGTTATATTATATATTTTAATTTTAAAATTATGTATGTATATAAATATTTTATATTATTTTATATTACTTTTTAATACTTAATTAGATGACCTCCATAAGATCACCACAGACTGTCCTTTCCTAGGATTCAAAATATCCTTCTTTTTTCCTACTTGTGGAGACATTTATTGAATGGCTCCTTAAAAATAAAATGAAATTTTCATCACTGTAATCTTATGTTGGACATCAGCAGGCTCCTGTATGTATAAACTTATGTAAGTATACATGTACATATGCATGTATACATTTATAAAACTGGTGTCCTAGCTTTATTCTTTTACAGTCCGAAGGTATCACCAAGATGGTGTTGATAAATAGTGCTTCAGATTTACATTTACATTAAGTATGTTTAGTCAAAAAATAAACCCTATTTTTTTCTTGATCGTCTCATTTTAAAACACACTGTTTACATTATAGAGAATATTGAATCCAGTATGACTACAGCTGCAACAAGAAATTGTACTAAGTATCGAGTTTTTCACCCCTCTTCAGCAATGTCAGGAAAGTTCTATTTATTAGAATATTATTCATAAATGTCATAATTAAAATTATGTTAAAATTTATCTATGAAATTTAGTTTTGTATTGGCCAGAAATTAATTACCTTAATTTTAAAAATTATTCTCTTCAATATTGTTTGGATCTGTGTGCCCACCCAAATCTCATGTGAAATTGTAATCCCCAGTGTTGGAAGTGAGGCCTGGTGGGAGGTGACTGGATCATGGGAGTGAAGTTCTTGTAACTGATTTAGTAACATCCCCCTTGGTACTGTATAGTGAGTGAGTTCACACAAAATCTGGTTATTTAAAAATGTGTGGCACTTGCCCCTTGTTCTCTCTTCCTCCTGCTCCATCCATGTAGGACGTGCCTGCTTCCCCTTCACTTTGCACCATGACTGAAAATTTTCTGCATCCTTTCCAGAAGCCATCATTCTTCCTGTACAGCTTGTGGAACTGTGAGCCAATTAAACCTCTTTTCTTTATAAATTACCCAGTCTTACATATTTCTTTATAGTAGTGCAAGAATGGACTAATATGCTCTGCATGCTAATAATATTCAGCAGCCAATTTCTGGAAAAACACAACTAGCTGTAATTTTTTTAAGGAATGTGACTTGTTATGTTAATCTTATAATACTACATAAATACCAAAGCTGTAATTTTTTTAAGGAATGTGACTTGTTATGTTAATCTTATAATACTACATAAATACCAAATGATAAAGAATAATTACTTTCCAGTACTTAAAAAACCGATTGGGCTAAATGCCCTGATACTGGTTGGACTTACTACACTTGTTCTTTTCTAAACTTAGAGCTAATTTTCTCTCACACTTTGGAGAAATATACCTAAAAAGTTTACCAAAATTAGGTAATAGCCCCTGTGGCTTTGTATCGAATACAAATGCCTGTGGCTTTGTGTGTTTATGCTAAGATAACATCTCACCACAGTCTGCCCTGTAGGAAGGGTTTTATTCCATTTGGTGTTTTAATACTTACACACTGTTAATGTTTAAATTCACCAAACTTCTTGTCGTCTATGTGCCCACTGAAGTACCAAGGAGAAGCCAAAGATACTGACTTCCATGTTTCTACCATCACTTGGGAGTCCCTGTATTAGAATCCTCCCTCTAAACTGACCTTTACGTGGTGATATCAGTAAAGAAATTCACATAGATTCTGTTAGGCAACTTTTTTGTGGGTTTGTTGTTGTTGTTGTTATAATCTTAACCTAGATTTCTGCAACAGTGCTGGGAAAAGTAGATTCATGTTAGATTTTTATAGAACAAACAGGCAGAGGTTTATGTGCTGGCTAACACTTCTTGTTGCATTTGGCTAAATGCATTACAATAAGTCAAGGAATGTCTAGATATAATTCAAGAGCACACCAATTGGTTGTCCAAGATGGGACAAAGTAGTTCACAGGATCTTTTCCTATGACTAGGACTTGTCATATCAAGCAGTTTACAGATGTTCTATGAACATTTGTTGTTTTCCTAATGATTAATCTTAACAAGTATATTTTTAAAGCATCTTTAATGGTGTTGAACAGGTGTCATCCTGTTTTATATATCAGAGTATTCTACATCAAAAGGAGACTTAAATGATTGAGAAAAACATAGTGGAATCCAGAAAGAATGACACCTGAAACAAAGATGGTGAGTATAATAACCCATCTATCCTGTGTGTGGTTGTTTTTTCTCAGAATGAGGGAGAAGCTATAAAGCAAATATCTTTATCTTTATTTACAATAACTCATAAGTAATATAAACACTGACTTGGCTCTTATTATAACTGTATCTAGGGTACCATGAACTTTGAGTGACTGAGTGAAGATGGCAGACCCATACTGTATCTAACTATAGACACTTTTTGACCAATAAACAATGGGGCTTGCAGCCAGGCACAGTGGCTCATGCCTGTAATCCCAGCACTTTGGGAGGTCAAGGCCGGTGGATAACTTGAGGTCAGGAGTTTGAGACCACCATGGCCAACATGGTGAAACACCTTCTCTACTAAAAATACAAAAATTAGCCTGGCGTGGTGGCACACACCTGTAATCCCAGCTATTTGGGAGGCTGAGGCAGGAGAATTGCTTGAACCTGGGAGGCAGAAGTTGCAGTGAGCTGAGATTGTACCATTGCACTCCAGCCTGGGCGACAGAGGGAGACTCCGTCTCAAAAAAACAAAACAAAACAAAACAAAACAAAAAAACAAAGAAACAATAGGGCATGCTTTAACCATCAGTACACAGACCTACACATTCAATTTGTCCTATCCTGAAGGCAAATTTTCAATGCTTAATTAGCATAAACAATATACACTCCTTTGTTTTGGAACTTAAAATACTCTGACTTCTCTCCTTTAGTAAACTACTCAGTGAATTTATTCAATGGCATGTGCTCCCTTGCCAAGCATGCTAATAAATGCAGCTCTGTAATTTTTTTAATTGCAAAAATAAGACAGTTTGTCTACAGAAAGTACAACCATTTCTCTTCTGGAATTGAACAATTTTCCTATTAATATGTTAATATTTCTGGGTCCAGGCAAGGGTTGCCCTGTCCCAGATGGTACACAACCTAACTTTAGACTTCTATGCACCCACTTTTTAAAAATTTTTGAATTACGGAAAGGTAATTCACATATGTACATGTTTGTGGTGATTTGAGGATAGAGGAGGTGAGGGAGAGCAAGAGTCAAATGAAGAATATAATTTGAAGGCATTACATAAATAATTACATTATTTTATATTTTGTTTCTTGGTAGCAGCATTCTGTTTCTATTATAAGGTGTTTTAAAGTGGCTGAGCCTCTCATTTTAAGATTCTTTCTTGCCTTTATATAAAAAACAAAGAGACCAATGATTTTCTGTGCTTATTTTAATATCTCATATTGACATTCAATTCTTATTTTAATTAGGAAACATAATATTGTAAACTATGGTGTACAGTGTTTCAATATTTAATTCATTTAAAAAAGATACCTTTTTACGAGTGGTAATGAAAATACACGTGACTAAAAGCAGAGCACTGATAATTTTGGGGGGAAAAACTTAAATTTATTAAGGAAAGAAAGAAATTGAACCAGGCCATTGTTTTAATATGCACATAATTAACTGTAGAACTTTATATTGTGAAATTTAATTAAACACGTTCTAGCCATTTGGGTTTTGAAATGCTAGGTAAAATACTAAGTTAAAGATGTGAGGAATCAATATTATCCTTCTGGCATTTTTGTTTCAGCTACATAATAACTTTTTTAGTAGGTGTGTAAAAAAGCTCCTGATATTTTTGCCTTGATCTAAAGGAAAATATGTTCTATAAAGGGTAAATCTATTAATTAGAGACCCACACAACTTTCTTTCTTGCTAGTGTAATCGTTAAATTGATTTTTCCAGTCCATCATGTAATTGTTCCAGCGATGGAATCCTGCTTTCCACTCCCATTCTGCTTCATCAATATTTCCTGTAAAATATGGAATAAGTTGTATTAATCAAAATTTTTATCTGTTTCATTAACTGAAAAATAATTTCGAATACAAAAGCCATTTTCTCTAACTACACAGTACAGCATTATTTTCTTTATTTATTCTTTATTATTTGTTATTAGCTCGCTTTGCCTGAAAAGAGATTTTAATAAAATCTTTACAGATTATGTGAAAATGCAAATAATGTATATATAATTTATATAACGTATAACATATAAAATGGAAAATGAGTTTATATATTGTATTATGTATAATTACATTACATATATTTTCTTTAGTTTTCAAGAGGATATGTAGATATTATGCTCTTTTCTTGACCCACTTTAAAATAACACAAATTTCATTTAATGGTCTCATTTACATATATAGTTATATAACAGATAATTATTTCTGATGAAAATTATATATGACTACAGTCATCCTTAGTATTTGTGGGGAGTTGGTTCTAGGACCTCTCAGGGATACCAAAATCCTCTCATACTCAAGTCCCTAATGTAAAATAGCATAACATTTTCACATAAGCCATGCACATCCCTAGATAATTCATACCTAATATAATGAAAGTGCTGTGTAAATGTTTATTATATTATATTGTTTAAGGAATAATGATAAGAAAAAAAGGTCTGTATATGTTTAGTATAGATGTATTTATTTATCAAATGTTTTTGACTCGTGGTTGGTTAAATCCATGGATGTGTAACCCGCAAATACAAAGGTCATACTGTATTTATTAATGCATAAGGATAACTTTTTAATTATCATTCCACATAGATTTTACCCTTATTATAATACAATGTTTTATTTTATTTATTTATTTTTTTTTGAGACAGAGTTCACTCTTGCCACCCAGGCTGGAGTGCAATGGCGCCATCTTGGCTCACCGCAACCTCTGCCTCCTGGGTTCAAGAGATTCTCCCTCCTCAGACTCCCGAGTAGCTGGGATTACAGGCGCGTGCACCACCATGTTTGGCTAATTTTTGTACTTTTGGTAGAGATGGGGTTTCACCATGTTGGTTGGCCAGGCTGGTCTCGACCTCCTGACCTCAGGTGATCCACCTGCCTCAGCCTCCCAAAGTGCTGGGAATAGTCATGAACCACCATCCCTGGCCAATACATTTTAATGGGAAACAACATTAAGTCATTGTTTCAGCCACTTACCTTGAAAGCAGTTTATTAATTGTGTTGTAAAATAGAAAGATGATTCAGATAATTCCTGCTTTCAAGTAGTTTGCAAAGTATATGCATGTGTTAGGAGAAAGGGGTGTGTAGGTAGGAATAGCGTGAGGCAGTGAACCACTAATGGTCTATATACTTCAAGAACTTTGAAATTCTGATTTATTTGGAAGTGTATTGTTAAAAAATACAGATTGTGAACAGTAAAAACTATTAAATTACAATGTTTTAAGACACATATTTTTGTTCCTGGTATAAAGGCATAATAAGCAATATATATAACTGTGGTTTTCTTTTTAAACTTTTAGAATGCTAAGCTACAGTCATTAAACTAACAAAAAATTTTAAGTAATTTCATGTATACTGAAAATAGGGGCTGGCAACTCTTTTAATATATACTTTTCAGTTAGAAATCTTTGAAATTAATTAAACTTTGTAAGATATTACTTTGGAGGAGAAAATTTAGTGACTAATTTTAAGCTAGTACAAAAATAAAAATATTTAAACCTTTTTGCAGACATTACAATATCCCTTGTAATTTAGGATATATTTAGGTTTGAAATGTTCACAATGCTTGGACATTGGAAAAATATTTGAAAGTTTACATAAAGTGTTTCACTTTCATGTAAAAATGGCTTTTAAAAAGATCAGTCACTATAATCACAATTTTTTGGTGAATAATAGAACTTCTATAAAGGGTCAAAAAAGATTAGATGTGGAAGAAAGATGTTAAATATCATACCAAATTATCCATTTTTATGGTCTTTTAAAAAATAACAAAATGTTGTTTTAAATCTTACTTATATAAAATAAAAACTCTAAATTCCAGAAAAAATTTTTCTTGATAAATAAATTTTTGGTAATTTAAAATTTAGACCATGAATTTTAATCCTTATAGAAAGAGTCCTAGATCTGATTTTCCTTTTTTATTCATGGAATAATACCAAAATCACTGATTTACATAAATTTACATTTTTTCCTATGTGTCTTATCAAATGTCTATACAATTTAGTATTTTGAAATGCTTTTTAGTTCACAAATGCTCTATAAATCTAAATCTGCTTTAGAAATAGGGGGCATTGATTGAGACAATAAAATATGAAACATTTAATTATTTCCTAATGAAATCCAGAGAAAGTGAATACACCGTAATGAGTAAATAAAATATTGAGTTTGAAGTAAATCAAAATCAAAATTAAACGTTTTCCTCTTTCCTCTCCTTCTTTTCTTAGTCCGCCTCTCTTTCTTTGTCTTCTTATTTCATATTGGCTTGTTTATTACTAAGAAGACAAAATCTAGTCACAAGTCAATTTTCACATTATTATCAACATCAGCAATATTCATGATTAAAAACCATGTAACTTAAGTGGCTGGAACATCATAATAAAAAATTTAGGGCTGGCACATTATAAACAAGGATTAAACTTGATTAGCAAATTTTAACTTATTTAAAATTTGAGAGGATAAAGACCTTTATGGTAGGCAATGTATTTGCTTTACAATTGATTAATTAAAACATAATTATATTGTAGAACAGTCATAATGCTCAAACAATGTAAGTTTCTTAGAATTGTAACCTCAACCAAAATGCAGGCTTCTAACTCAATGTACTTATTGTGAAGGGGATCAATATATATTTTGTATGAATTCAGAGATACAAAGAAAGAATAATGCTGCCACCAATGTTTCTTTTCATGCCTCATGGTGTCTGAAAGTCCACAAATATAATGATAATAGCAATGTTGATTGTCATTCTCTAAGTGTAAATATTTTTTATGAGAAAGGGAAAAAATAATCAAATTCTGAATGAGAGAAGAAAAGGAAATGTGTAGAAAAGAGAAAAAGAAAGTGGAGGCTTGATACTAAATTCACAGGTCAAATATTGATGTGACGTTTTCTTTAAACAAGATAAAAATTAATTTTAGAAATAAAGAACCCTAACTTGTAGAAAGAGTTTTATTATTATTTTTTCTTCTTTATAGTGGTAACATTTTGTGTTTTGGACACTGTGAACATAATGGAAAGACTACCATAATATATTATGGTTTTAATTATATTTTATAAAGAAAAATGAATCGATTGACCTTTCCAGATTCTTATGTAGAGAGTAAATATAAAGTCCTCTTTATTCATACTACAATGATCATACTATATAATAATATGTATAAAAAGTGTCTTAATTCATAATATCAACAATAGGTCACATAGTATTTATCCATTGACCTCAGCTGATGGCATTTAAATAATACATGTAAAATACGGTAATATAGAGAAGTGAAGATAAAAGGACAAGGGCAAATATATAGCAGAAATGTAAATAAAAGAAAAAAATAGAGTTGGCAAATGTATAGCAGGCATGGTAAAAATCAAGGCCAAAAAATAAATGAGTAAATAAGTATATATTAATAGGATTTTAAATCCTCAATATTAATAAAGCTTACAATTCTCGTAACTATTTTTCAGAGAAATATCTTCATTCTTGTAGAATTTCATGCAACTTTATTATTTCTTAAATAAAAATAGAGCAGAAATAAATAAGGACATTGAGGACCTTATTCATATAACTATGTAGTAAGAATACAGTTGATTTAAAACATATGTAACCTTAGAGACAGATAATTTACTTTTTGCCAAAGAAAAATAATGTGTTAAAAATAATGTGTTACATTAGTTATCACCCCAATAAAGCTTATTAAATTTGTATTTAATAAATATATAAATATGTAAAATAGGGAACTGTATAATCTATGTTTACAAAATAAAAATTTATGTCAAGATTTCGAATGATCAAATAGACATATCAACTAAAAAGATTATCTAATACTTAAGATAGTTTGTGAATATTTATAACGTACACATATGTATAGAGATATTAAAAACAAGTTTCTCCAAAGCAAATCTCTGTGTGCAGGGGCAAAGCAAATTTGCAAGTACAAATGTTTAAAAGAAAAGGTAAAAAATATACACACAGTTGACCTTGAACAACATGAGTCTGAACTGCACAAGTCCACTTACATGTGGATTTTCTTCCACCTCTGTCAATCCAGAGACAGCGAGACCAACAGCTCCTTTTCCCCTCCTCCTACTCCTCAGCCTACTCAATGTGAAGATGACAAGTATGAAAACCTTTGTGATGATCAACTTCCACTCAATAAGTAGTAAATATATTTTCTCTCTTATGATTTTCATTTTCTTTACACTAGCTTACTTTATTATAATAATATAGCATATAATAAAAATATTATTCATAAAATATGTTAATCAAATGTTTACATTATTGGTAAGGTCCAGTCAAGTAGGCTTAATTAGTCAACTTAATCAGTAGTTAAATTTTGGGGGATTCAAGAGTTACAGGCAGATTTTCAACTGTGCAGGGGTTGGTGCCCCTAACCCCCAGATTGTTTTTCCAGAGTCAACTGTTTATGCAAACATAGATGATATTTCCAAATTTGCATTCAGAGGCAAATTTACTAGTAAATACTTTTACACTAAAACAAGAAAAAGCCAGTTTACAATAATTTTTAAAGCATAAATAAAATAAAATAAATATAAGAGAAGTGAATATATTCCTGATGCGAATGAACCAGCAAACAAAAGCAGCTATTTGGAAGAAAGACCCTACCTCAGAAATGAAATTATTATGTTGATGCCATATAATATTCTTACAATCTAGACTCTAAGAAGACAAAGGTAAAAAAGAATAACTCGTGAATATAGTAAAAGATTATACATTTATGAATCAATAACCAGAACATATCAGTTTCTCATTTAAAATTACTAAATGGCTTTACTCAGAATATAATTTAAATTCTTTAGCATGATGCACAAGACACTTCATCTCTGGTTCCTGCTTATCTGGCTTCTCTCCACTTTGCCTTCACATTGAGATTCAGTGCAGGTATCTTCTCTTCTTAAAAGCTTTCCATGGTCCTGGGCCCTGACTCCACTTCACTGTGAGTAAGCAGACCCTGTCATTTTCATCTGTGCAGCTCTAGCTGCTAGTGCAGTTCCTGGCTCACAGTAGCAGCATATAGGCTCTGTAAATGTTATCAAATTAGTTGACAAAAAAGACTTTTTAAAAGATAAATTATATTTCTATTAGGTATCTTGTTATACATCTGATAAGATGTCCAGAAAACATTCAGAAACTAGTTAACTGTCAACTACCTAGGAAAGATAACCCATTTAAAACCACCACAAATGTCTATTTATAATTTTTTTTCTCTTTCCATTTTTTATATTTTTGTGGGTAATTGCTATTAGGAATATTTCACATTAATTTTCATTAATAAACATTTTGCAAACCAGTCACCCTCCCCACCCACAAAATACTTATGTTGGCTTTAACAAAAATGTTAAGTGGTGTTTTGGAGAGGGGATTATACCAGCATTACTCATACTGATTGTAATTTTGACAACATATTAATCTCGTACTACGGATGCAAGTACATTTTCCACTCTGTAGGAAAAGAAACTGTTTGAAAATTCTGCAAGGGAAATGGCCTTCAATGAAATTCAACATCACCTCATGTTAAAAATTCTCAATAAACTAGGTATTGATGGAACATATCTCAAAATAATAAGAGCTATTTATGACAAACCCATAGCCAATATCATATTAAATGGGCAAAAGCTGGAAGCATTCCCTTTGAAAACCGGCACAAGACAAGGATGCCGTCTCTCACTCCTATTCAACATAGTATTGGGAGTTCTGGCCAGGGCAATCAGACAAGAGAAAGAAAGGGTATTCAAATAAAAAGAAAGGAAGTCAAGTTGTCTTTGTTCGTAGACAACATGATTCTATGTTTAGGAAACCCCATCGTCTTAGCCCAAAACCTCCTGAAGCTGATAAGCAAATTCAGCAGTCTCAGTGTACAAAATCAATGTGCAGAAATCACAAGCATTCCTATACACCAATAATAGACAAGCAGAGAGCCAAATCATGAATGAACTCCATTCACAATTGCTACAAAGAGAATAAACTATGTAGGAACACAGCTAACAAAGGATGTTAAAGACCTCTTCAAGGAGAACTACAAACCATTGCTCAATGAACTAAGAGTACATAAACAAATGGAAAAACATTTCATCCTCATGGATAGGAAGAATCAATATTGTGAAAATGGCCATACTGCCCAAATTAATTTATAGATTCAATGCTATTCCCATAAACTACTATTGACTTTCTTCACAGAATTAGAAAAATCTACTTTAAATTTAATATGTAACCAAAAAAGAGCCTGCATAGCAAAAACAATCTTAAGCAAAAAGAAGAAAGCTGTAGGTATCATGCTACCTGACTTCAAACTATACTACAAGGCTATAGTAACCAAAACAGCATGGTATTACTACCAAAAGAGACATATAGACCAATGACACAAAACAGAAATCTCAGAAATAACATCATACATCGACAACCATTTGTTCTTTGACAAACCTGAAAAATCAAGAATGGGGAAAAGATTCCCTATCTAATAAATGGTGCTGGGAAAACTGGTTAGCCATATGCAGAAAACTGAAACTGGACTCCTTCCTTACACTTTATACAAAGATTAACTCAAGATGGATTAAAGACTTGATGGTAAAACCTCAAAAAATAACAATTCTAGAAGAAAATCTAAGCAGTACCATTCAGGAACAAGGCATGGACAAAGACTTCATGACGAAAATGTCAAAAGCAATTGCAGCCAAAGCCAAAATTGACAAATAGGGTATAATTAAACTAAAGAGCTTTTGCACAGCAAAATAAACTATCATCAGAGTGAACAGGCAACCTACAGAATGAGAGAACATTTCTGCAATCTATCCATCTGACAAAGTTCTAATATCCAGAATCTACAAGGAATTTAAACAAATTTATAAGAGAAAAGCAAACAACCCCATCAAAAAGTGGGCACATAATACGAACAGACACTTCTCAAAAGAAGACATTTATGTGGCCAACAAATGTATGAAAAAAAGCTCAACATCACTGATCATTGGAGAAATAAAAATCAAAACCACAATGAGATACCATCTCACACCAGTCAGAAAGGCAATTATTATAAAGTCAAGAAACAATAGATGCTGGTGAGGCTGTGGAGAAATAGGAATCCTTTTACGCTATTGGTGGGAATATAAATTAGTTCAACCATTGTGGAAGACAGTGTGGCAATGCCTCAAGGATCTGGAACCAGAAATATCATTTGACCCAGCAATCCCATTACTGGGTGTATACCCAAAGGAATATAAATTATGCAACTATAAAAACCCATGCACAACTAGGTGCAGTGGCTCACACATTTAATCCCTGCACTTTGGGAGGCCGAGGTAGGTGGATCACCTGAGGTCAGGGGTTCGAGATCAGCCTGACCAACATGGAGAAACCCTGTCTATACTAAAAATACAAAATTAGCCAGGCGTGGTGGCATATGCTTGTAATCCCAGCTAATCCCAGCTACTCAGGAGGCTGAGGCAGGAACATCGCTTGAACCCAGGAAATGGAGGTTGTGGTGAGCCAAGATCACGTCATTGCACTCCAGCCTAGGCAACAAGAGTGAAACTTCACCTCAAAAAAATAAATAAATAAAGCCCATGCACATGTATGTTTATTGCAGCACTATTTACAACAGCAAAGACATGAAACCAACCCAAAAGCCTATCAGTGATAGACTGGATAAAGAAAATGTGGCACATATATACCATGGAATACTATGAAGTCATAAAAAAGTATGAGATAATGTCCTTTGCAGGGACATGGATGAAGATGGAAGCCACCATCATCAGCAAACTAACACAACTAACACAGGAACAGAAAACCGAATACTGCATGTTCTCACTCATAAGTGGGAGCTGAACAATGAGAACACATGGACACAGGGAGGGGAACAGTACACACTGGGGCCAGTCGGGGGTGGAGGGTGAGGGGAGGGAGAGCATTAGGACATATAGCTAGTGCATGCGGGGCTTAAAACCTAGATGACGTGTTGATAGGCTCAACAAGCCGCCATGACACACGTATACCTATGTAACAAACCTGCACGTTCTACACATGTATCGCAGCACTTAAAGTAAAATAAAAAAATAAAGAAAATTCTGCAAAAGACCAAATGGCTCAATATACATAAAACAGTTAAAATCTGGCAGATTATAAATTTTTATGTGGTATGAAAAATAATAAATAATAAAGTTTTTATTTTCTAAAAATAATTGCCTAATGGATGAATGATAAACACACACAGAAAATGTGAATTTGTATGATACAATATGCATAAGTAAATGTAACAACTCATATTGTTGACCTGAGTATTCCTTGGAAAAATGATAGTACTTTATACCTAGGCTAGCAATTTTAGTATAAATTTTCAAAGCATATTAATAGGACATAAATCTAATAAGAGGTTAGAGGCTCTCTACATAAACATGAATATATCACATATATATATTCACCTTGATACCTATGACCTATTAATTTGTTATATTTTTATTCTTCAGCTTTCTATGCCCAATTTTAAATCAATAATAATATCCTTTTTAACCAACTCAGTAATATGAATGATTTTAGTACTTTAAGATTATTTCAAATGTCACCAAGTCTTGTTGTGATTGTAAAACAGAGACAACTTGCTTTGTGTGTGGGTTTTGGGGAGATAGAAAAGATGGGAATCAATTTTTTGTTTAATGCCTCACAGGGTAAAGAGAAGGGAATAGTCGTGGAAGGCAATTTGTGAAACGGTAAATTTATAAACACATTGGCATAACTTTTTGAGTTCACTTCTTTGTGATCTTTGTTTTGCATGTATTGTCACATTTGGAAAAAAAATCGTTTTCTCTTCTATGAAAATAATAATGATAAGTTTTTTGTGTGTGGTTGTTGTTTTTTGTCTAGCCAAAAAGGACACTGAGTAAATTTTCACCAGAGCTAAGTCTATTTAACAAAGTCTAAGGAATTAGAAAATATTTTAGTCCATTCAGACTGCCATAACAAAACATCATACACTGGATAGCTTATATACAACAGCAATTTATTTTTCACAATTGAGGAGGCTTTCCAGCAGATTATACTTCCATCTAAGATCAAGCAACGTAGACTGTTGTCTGATGAGGACCTGCTTTCTGGTTCATAGATGGCAGTCTCATTGCTATGTTCTCACATGGAAGAATGGGGGAGTTCCCTCAGGATTTTTTTTTTAAAGCATTAATCCCTTTTAAACAGGCTTTTTCTCCATGAACTCATCACCTCCCGCAACGATTCACCTTCTAATACCAGCACCTTAGTGGTTAGGATGTCAACATATGAATTTTAGGGGGACACAAACATTCAGACCCTAGCAGAAGAGAATGCAAAGGTGAATTAACCCACAATTGCTAGTGGAGGTGAAGATAGGAGAGATTATACTGATATTTAATTAAGTCTGCCATCATAATTAAGAAACAACAACATTCTTCATGTATTTGAGTGTTCACTGAAAATCTGTCTCCATCACATTATTATTTTTCTGTTTTTGATCAGTTATTAAACTTATCATGGAATGCATATTTCTTTATGCAATAAATCTCAATCATTAATTGTTCTGTCGTAATTTTGAGCATGGGGTAAGAACATAGAGTGAACTAGTATAAACTTAGGCTAGGCTTTGTGAAGACTTCATGTAGTTTAAAGTGGAACAGTTAATTTAACTTGATTATTAAGTTATTCGAAGCCACTTGTTTATTTGTTTTGTTTTGCTTTTAATGAGGAATTGATAATTCAGGCATATTAAGACAATAAACTAGTTTCAACATTTTCTCCAAATCACCTTTGCACTCCCTCATCCTTGACTGCCAGTCTTGCTAACTGATTAGCAAATAGTAGTAAATGATTTTCAAAGTAACCAGTTCAAAGGGTATTTTGGCCCTTAAATTTACACGTGCTTTTTAGTGTTGGCAAGCATGATTTATTCAAAGGTCAATGGAGGAATTATTGGATCTAACTTTTTTTCTTCATTAGGATAATATGAAGGACTTCTGTTCTTTAAATAAATTTACTCTTCCACTTTTAGTGAAAAAATATTATTATCCTTGACAGTGGGTCATTTTTCTACTTCTTTTTCTTTTTTCAAATAGTTATGATATTGTAATATTGAATAGTTGTATCCTTGTGGAAATCTGAATTTGATAACATTTGAAATAAATATTGTGAATTTTATTTCTTGCAGGTGCATGCAATAACAGCATAGCCATGTGCTGAAGTATGGTCTGAAAGTTAAGTGTTAGAATTTGTGTGTTTAAACAAGTTTCAAGAATCATTTTATTTGAGAACATTTATTGCTCAAACGTAAACTATTGCTGAGGTGGTACTTACAAAGCTTATTGGGCTTCCATCTTGAGTAAGGTAAACATTTTTCCTTTTAAGAAAGCCAGCTAGTAGTTATTCTTTGAAATTTTTCTTTAGGTATAAAGTTGCTTTAAAAAAAATTCCAAAAACTTTAGCCCAGGTCATCTGACTAACGCATTCTCAAAACATTAAAGATTAAAATATTTGAAGTTTTGTGACTTGAAAAATATAAGATATGGCAAGAACATGGGCCCTTAATCTTTTTAATCTGTCCACACTATTTATTTATAAAACCTAAATCCTTGTAACTTCAAACTGATTTTGTTCAAATGTAACATTTTTATTACTAGTGAATACATGTTACAATAATTGTATCGTGCATTTACTTCAAAATTATAAAATATATCTAATATGAAAACCTTATTATGGGGGAATTAATTAGAAAAAATGGTATAATACAAAATTATATTTTCAAGACACACTGAACCTAACCTTAAGCATGGTCCTAGACCACAGCTAGGTAGGTATTTCCATAGAGCTCAGCGTTACACAAGCTAGGAATTTGTTCAACATTGTATGGGAAATAGCAGCAGCTGGCAAAAACTTTGGAGTTTGTTTATTTAATCTGCTTTCTGGCAGGTAAGTATTTGGAAATAGAAATTTGTGAAGGATAGTTTTTTAAAATGCTGATATTCAAATTTTATTGTATCATCGCATAAATTGCAATAGATCACACATGATTTAACCAGAAGGGCTCAGCTTGGCTTATAATAAATAAGTCACTTAAAATAACCCACTCATTATATCTCAAATTATAACCCTCTCATATAAAAATATTTTAAATAAAGATTAATAATATATAGTATGTGATATGATAAATGATAGTATCTCTTTGGGTCTCTTGGCATATTAATGAGTTACCTCATCGTTATTTACACCCGGAGGACAAAAGGATGGCACTGTTGCTCTGCCAAGAGAAGCAGAATCCCATCCCTGGTTATATATTATGTCACAGAACATTTGGTAATACACAGAGCACTGGTATATCAGAAACATTTCCCAAGCAGATGGAGTACATAATTATAATTTTTGTGAGTAATGTCTGATAATCAAAAGGCATATTAAGCAATCAAATACAGCTCTGAGATGCCCATATTTGCTGAAACTAGCCCACAACTTATCTAAACAAGAAATGGAAAACATCTACTGTATTATGATACCAAATATACAGCCTGAAAATTACAGATCGTCATGATGAGCAGAATAGCAAACTCTGAAGGACCTGACCAGCAATATGTCTGATGGCTGAAAATCAATTACTTTCAGAAAGTATACTTAAGGAACCACATGGATTATAAACAGCTGAAATTTTAAAATCTAGACAGTGAGTTGGATATATGTCATATTTGTCAGAGAAGATCAAACTAAGGTGACACATGTTTGATCACTCAAGTGGATTGAAATATTTTCTTAATAATGAATATTGAGATAATAATCTGAACAAATTTTCATCGTATTTCCTTACCCATTTCTCACCAATCACTTCCTTAAGACTAGTTAACTAAATAACTATTTGTTTATAATATGTAATATTATATCATATCATATTATGTAATGTGCGTGTGTGCTCTTAGATAAATATTTCCAAGTTCAGAATATTTAGAAATTTTTTATTGTGTTTTTAAATATGTAAACTTCGGAGTTTTTTTCTCCATTTAAATCAAGGTTCTATTATTTATCAATAAATCTGTTTTTACCAATTTATGCATCTTATTTTTTAGTTCCATACATTATGATTATTTGATATATTTATTTCTTTGTCCATTAATTAATTCCACAAAGATTATCTGAATAACAAGTAGGGCTCTATTTTAGTTTCCTTTTTCTATTTTATATTTCCACAGGGTGAAATCTATATTTTAGTTTTCTTTATTTAACTACTAAAGTACTGGTCATATAGTAAGAGTTCAAAACATATCTAAACTTGATAGAAGAAAGTCTTAAAAATAATGTGTTCATTAAACCAAGTTATTTTAAAGTCAGAGATACATATAGTAACTCCATCACCGTGCCTTGGAGAGTATACTTCATCCCTTTTTTACATAACCCATCATCTATTAAATAACCAAACACTAAAAACAGACACACCTGTCATTTCCAAGACTTTTGGAAAAAATGATGTCCAGAATCGACATTGTTGAGCACGTAGTTTCGTCATTATTCTTGTTGACTCTGTATTCAAGGTTAGATATTTTTGTTCAGTGCTTTTGAAGACAGGCCAGCTTGTGCTATTGTTCTGAGTCTCATTTGGATTCCTAAATAATAAAATAGAGACATTATAGTAAAATTGAAATCATTGTTAGATTAAAAAGAATATTGTTTTCTAACACTGTTCACAAGAGCTTTAAAGAATTTAAGACAGAAAAAATGTGGATATATATTGATGATATGAAACGTATGTGAACTGGGCTTAGTGGTTTGAGCACTGAGAACCACTATGTTATTTAAAATTGTAAGAATTGAAATTTAAAGTTGAATTTTTTATATGCATTTCTGCTTAACATATTGGAAGAAGAAATTTTTTATTTCAATAAAATATATCTTCATTCACACTTAAACGTGCTCAAAGGGTGGTGTTACTTTTGTTTCATTATCTTCCCTTATCCTAGGCCCAAAAATTTCACAATAAGGAATCATATCACTTACTCATCTTTTGCATCTATTTCATTCTATATACTCTTATTAATACTGCTTGAGTTTAAGACCAAGTTTAATTACAAATCTTATTATGTAATAATCTCATTACTCCAGGAAACTTCTTTCAGTCCCACTTTTAAGTTTAGCTAACATCTCATAGATCTGTTTACTAATTAAAAATCTTTCAATAATTCTTAAGTGGTTTCATATTAAGGTTAATGAACATGGTACCACCCACATTTCCAAATTTATTTTCAGATATTCTTTTTATACACCCAGCCAATAGGAGTTAGGGAATTAGATAGAGTTCCCCAGTAAATCCCTCCTTTTTTCATTTCTTCTCTTTGCTCTAGCTGTTACTTTTGCTTGGAATTCTTTTATTTTCCAATTTTATGTGTCTAAACTCATTCAAAACTTTCATATTATCTTTTTATGATATTTCCCATGCTTATAGTTGTTATTTGAAAATGAATAACTGTCGACTCTATCTTTTCAATATCTACAGTGTTGAGCTCATTTATACCTTTATAGCACTCAATAATATATTAATGCCAAGGTCACACAAACAGGAACTCAGAGATTTTTAAAAGTGGCTCTACACAGTCACTACATCTGTAGATTTCCTTATAATATATCTTTATGTTATTAGTATGAGTTAGACACAGATCTAGCCTCTAGAAATATAAATATGAAACACAAAGTTTTCCTCAGGGAATTTATAAGCAAGAAAACCCAGGGAAACAAAGAACTACAACATAAGATAGCATAAACCGAGTCTAAAAAAAGGGCCACAAATTGTTCAGAAGAAGGAGCAGTCATTACATGCTTGAAAGGAAATTACCTGATGGAATGGGAATCTGGCTGAAAGAGAGGAAATAAGGACCTGAGCTAGAAAGGAAAGTCGGGAAAGCTAGAAAAAGGGATAGAATTAACATAGACATTAATGATTAATCTACTTCTTAGTTCAAATAATGACGAAAAAACTAGTTTTGTTGAATTCTAGGATAGAAGGAGATACAATTGAATATATGGACTTAGGATATCAGTGTTGTCACATTAAGGTCTAACAGCCCTGGAAAATTGTTTGAAATCGAACTTGTAGGCATTTACTACTCTTGAGGAACTTTTGACTAAATGGCTAGTGTGAGCATAATATTTTAGAAATATTGATCTGAAGGTGGTATTTAGAATAATCAAGAAACTATAAAGTTTTTCAGCCTTTTCTAACATAAACAAAAGATTAAAGTGACAAAGATAAGTAATTCATTCCTTGCTCTTATTCTACCTTATGCTAAATCATATTAAGAAAAACTCTGGTTGAAATTTTCTAAAAGTTCAACACAAAAAATCCTTCATCATTCAGATACCTTCTGTATATTATTAATAGATAGAAATTTTGGAGTAGTATGAGCCGATCTAAGTTTGTTTTGTTTTGTTTTGTTTTGTTTGGCCAAAGTCTCTAAGTCCAGTAGAATTTGGAAGAAGTAAACATTCATCCAGTATGGTTATCAAGAGGCAGATTTTTGCCATCAAGAACTTATATTGAATATGCACCATAAATTCATATTTTATCATAGATGCAGACATGTTCAACCATGAATTCAGGAGCTTTAGAGACAAACAGTTTCTTGATGTACTAGTTTATTTTATGGAGGAATTGGATAATTTAATAAGAATTATTAATAATCAGAGCTATTCAAGCTAAACCAATATCATAGCAAGATTGAAACCTCCTGCTTTAGGGTATTATTTGAGAGAGGTCAAGGAGAAAATTTCTCCAGATCACAGATGGCACAATTGTCTAGGTAAATTATGTAGTCTTTTTTCTTTCTTTTAAAGCTGTAGAAACTAACAAGTACAGCTGCTGGAGGCTGGATATTAAACCAGGAGAACCGATGGTCTGATTCAGTACAGCAATTCTTATGTTCCTAAATTGTCCAGTTTTCTTCTAATTCTGCTCTACTTTACTTATGGCACCATTTTAACTGCGCATTCATTTCTGTCTTCTGTGAATGGCAACGTAAACAGAGCTGACTCGTAGTTGAGTTCAAGAGCAAAGCACTAATGACACTGCCAGTGAGTGTTCATTTAACAAACTTTGTCCTATGAAATAACTCATGACATACCAAATTGTAATTTAGAGATAATAAGATTCCTTTGCCTATAGATGCAGCTATTTCAAAAGATTGAAATAGCTATTGAAGTGATGCAGTATTTTATTCTATAATTTGAAGAAATCTCCAAAGACTTACAAAATAACAAGAGAGACAATTCTGTCTGTATCAATTAAAAGCTTTGTGAAATACAACATATTTCCACCATGCACAATTCCAAAACACTACATATTTTTTATTTCAAAATTATAACATAAATTTAAACATCTTGACTTTGCTATTTCTCAAAGAATTTTTTGTTCTCGTCACAAAATAAATACTTCAAAATAGTAATAACTAAAACTTTCCATGAAGTTGTATGTGTTCTATTCTTAGTATCAGGTTCTTTTTCTACTTTGTGGTATACCAAAATGCTCTACAGATCACCCATTAGAATTTTCTTCATATGTAGGTTTGAAAGGTTTTAAGACACAGCTAACTTAACAACAAAAAAAAGCAGAGTATCTTTTTTTTTACATCTGTGTTACAGAAAATTACTTGCTTGTCATTGATATTTCAGCACATAGTTGATAACTCATTTTATGAACAGATTAAAGAAAAAGACATCAATTGATTCAGGATGCCCTGATATGAAGAAAAATTATGCATCTAGCTTCAAAAATAAAGTATTCTTGGAATTATAGAATCCTAGTGCTGCCTACCTAAGCCTAAAACGAGAATTAAAATTATCCTTAGGAATTCAGAGACAGTTATTTCTAAGTAAGCTATAGTAATTTTTGAGAGAATATATTTTAATTAGCTTTAAAATCTAGTAAAATGAAGCTATAGTTAATAGTTACATATTAAAAGTCTAGATGAAATCTTTCACTGTCATAAGAGGTTTGAGGAAAATATATTGAATAAATTTTAAAATGTTAAAATATTTATAGATTCCATTCCATGTCACTTAAATGATATTCTATTGTAAAATAAGGAATAGAAGGGCTATAAGAAGACCTAAATTTAGAAAACAGATTCATTCCTTCATTCAACCATATTTATAAAGTGTGTACTAGATCAGGTATTATTTGAGTGGTAAGAGATTCAACAAATACAAAATAGAAATTCCTTTATCTTGCCATTTTTATTTGATGAGAAAGACAATAAATAAGATCAATAAAGAAATGATGTAATATGTTAGATGATACTAGGTGCTAGTGATAATAAAATGAGGACTGGGGATAAATAGAAATGGCGGGTGAGTAAGTATCAGTGTGTGTGTGAGGGGGGGATGGTGAGGGAGTCCATAATAAAACATGTGATTGTCCTTTGTCTCTCCCTGCCAGAAAGACTGTCCATGTGATTAGAGAGTTGAGACTTTTAGCCATGTGATATCATACTGACCTCCATGGAGGGGAAGGAGCTGAAGATTGATTTTAACCATGCGAACAATGATTCAATCGATCATGCCTAAATATAGTAATAAAATCCCAATAAAAACTAGAGATACAGGTGAGCTTCTTAGATTGGCAATACTCCATAAGTACACCGGCACAATAGATGTCCTGAAGATAATAGATCTCTGAGGACAGAGAAGTTTTGCATTTGGAACATTCTAAGTCCAAGATGCTCTATGTGTCTCATTCCTCAGCTGGTTCTAATTTGTAACTTTTTGCTATAAGAAAACTGTCATTGTAATTACAGGGCTTTTCTGAGTTCTATGAATAGCTCTTCTGAGTTATAAAATCTGACAGAGTCCACAGGGACTCCATATTTGTAAACAGCTAGTCTGAAGTGAGGGTAGCCATAAGGACCCTAAACTTACGACTGGTGTGAGAAATCTTGGACCAATTTCGAAGACTGGAAGATTAAACTTGACTTTCTCTAACTCTGGGTAAGGGAGCTTTGTAATATTTAATAGAAAATGAAGTGAAGACTTGAGGAGAGAAGGGATGAGCCAAATAGTTGTTTGGGGAAATAGTATTTCAGTAGAAGGGATGGAAAACAAAGATCATGAGAAAAACACGTGCTTAGAGTTTTCCAAGGAAAGCAAAGGGGACAGTGTGACTAGAGTGGAGGGAGCAAGGGAATGAGTGTAGGAGGTGAGGTTGGAGAGGGGACAGTAAGTTCACATTATTTAGTGCCATGTATGTCTTTGAAAGCATTTTGTGCCTACTCAGAGTAAGAGAGGGAAGAATTGGAGGGTTTGCACAAAGAAAGAACAAGACTGGCCAGGCACGGTGGCTCACGCCTGTAATCCAGCACTTTGGGAGGCCGAGGTGGGCAGGTCACGAGGTCAGAAGTTCAACACCAGCCTGGCCAACATGGTGAAACCCCGTCTTTAATAAAAATACAAAAATTAGCTGGGAGTGATGGCGGGCACCTGTAATCCCAGCTACTCGGGAGGCTGAGGCAGGAGAATGGCTTGAACCCGGG
The DNA here is from genome assembly GCF_000001405.40 of Homo sapiens. Taxonomy (NCBI): domain Eukaryota; kingdom Metazoa; phylum Chordata; class Mammalia; order Primates; family Hominidae; genus Homo; species Homo sapiens. Next base: position 165,791,223 of record NC_000003.12, read on the forward strand.
AGGTGGAGGTTGCAATGAGCCGAGATCACACCATGGCACTGCAGACTGGGTGACAGAGCAAGACTCCATCTTGGGGGGCGGGCGGGAAGGAAAGAATAAGATCTCATTTACATTGTTTAAAAGATCATCTGTCTGTAGTGCTGGGAATAACTACAGATGGTTCAAGGTGACCAATTAGGAGGCTACTAAAATAATTTAGGTGAGAAGTGTTGGTTGCTTGAACTAGAGACGTAGTGGCAGAAATTGAAATAATTAGTCAGATCTTACATGTATTTTGTAGGTAGAGCCATTACTTGGCAGATAGATTAGATATAAAGAGGAAAGGAGCAGGCAAGGTTGATTCCAAAGATTCTGGCCTGAGAAACTGGAAGAATGAATGTAGTTGACATTGCTGAGATAGGAAAGACTGCAAGAAGAGCACGTTTGGAATGCAATATCAAGAGTTCACAGCTGGGCATGATGGCTCACGCTTGTAATCCCATCACTTTGGGAGGCCAAGGCAGGCGGATCACTTGAGGTCAGGAGTGCAAGACCAGAGTGGCCAACGTGGTGAAACCCCGTCTCTACTGAAAATACAAAAATTACCCGATATGATCATGCCTGTGATCCCAGCTACTCGGGAGGCTGAGGCAGGAGAATGGCTTGAACCTGGGAGACAGAGGTTGCAGTGAACTGAGATCTTGCCACTGACTCCACCCTGGGTGACGGAGCGAGGCTCCATCTCAAAAAATAAAATAAAATAAAATAAAATAAAATAAAATAAAATAAAGAGTTCACATGTTAAGTTCACGTGTTAAATTTTACATCCAAATGGAGATGGTAAGTACGCAGCTGGAAATTTGTAGTTACTCTTGATTTTACTGATAGAATCTCTGCGTTTCAATTAGATCCACCAGTTCTTACTTAACATGCATTTTTTTATTGGAATGACCTTGCCTAGAATGTGACACACATTCCATGATTAAAAGTGAAAAAATAACAAAAGTTAGAATAGCTTTGTACTGAATAGGAGATTAGACAATATTACTTCAAGGAAACTTCAAATTCATTTAAAGGGCATAATATTACTTTTGATAAAAAAAATCTAAGTAACGGAAAATTTTCTTTTAGGAAAAATTACCCGGAAAAGAGTTAACCGAAACAATTTAAGAATAAAAAATCTTTGATTATAAAATACTTCTGATTATATGCTAATAAAATAAAGTGCTTCCATGAGAAATACTTGAGGGCTGAATTGCGACATCATAAAACTCAAATACTAGAAAACATGAATGGGATATTTTTACTTAGTAATGATTAGTAAAATAATTGGGAGAAAAGAATTATTGAAAAACAAGATGCCATTATAAGTGGAAGGTAGCAAACATATCTTTATTGTTACCTCTCTAATATTAATATAGATTTGAAATTATTTTGGTCAAAGGTTTTCACCAATTAACTAAGAATCTCAAATCGATTACTAAGATAAAATAGATTAATTTGTATGTATCACCATTTTAATGGTTACAAATTCAGTGTTCTTAGATGCTCACTTTGAAAAATTCATTAAACATGATATGGGTTCAATTCTGTATGTATGTGTATTGCAATAAAAACTGATTTAAAATGTTTGTTGTGCTGATATCTTCCTCCAAAAACTGCTATCATTGCTGTCTGGGCAACTTAAAGTTGTACATTTGGTTGTTTCATCTTACTTTTCCTATAAACAATGTCTTTTATTGATTTGCAAATACTTTTTCTCATTCTGGAGGTTGTCCCTTTTCTCTGTTAATTGTTTCTTTTGCTGTGAAGAAGATTTTTTTAGTTTAATACAGTTCCATTTGTCTAAATTTGGTTTTGTTACCTGTGCTTTTACAGTCTTAGCCATAACATCTTTGCCTACATCAATGTTCTAAAGTGTTTTCCATATGTTTTCTTCTAGTAATTTTATGGCTTTAGGTCTTAAGCTTTTTAATGTAATGTTCTCCCAGCTACACTAACAATGTTACTCAATTTACAAATTTCAATACAGCTATAATATTATAAAATACACATAATGCACTATACCAATTCATAGGATATACAATGCCTATATTTCCCCAAAGCATAGCTCCTTGTCCTATTCTCCTCCTACCATCTCTTCAGACAGATCTTCCTTGGGAACCAAACTGAAGTAGTCAGTGTTTATCACCTCATATTTTTCTATGTACTTTAGCTGTCCTTTTTCCTTTTTTCTCATGAGAGGGTAAGTCTCATTCAAACTATCATTTGATTGCTTTGTTCACAGCCTGAAATTGTGCCTGACTCATAGTGTGCAGGCAAGAAATATGAGTAAAATAAGTAAGAAACATCACAACTGATGTGTGGTTACCTCTTCGTCCTTCACAGTAAATGTTCACATTTAAAAACTACTACCACATGGAAAATAGTTCACAAATGACAATTTCCGTATTTTTAAGAAAAACAGTATTCCAAACCAAGTAATGTGAAATTCTGCTTCCAGTAACTATTTGTTGTGGCAATCAGACACCCTGGGACAACTTTTCAGTGTCTCACGTGCAAACCATTTTTTACCATGTTCATGCCTGTAATCCCAGCACTTTGGGAGGCCAAGGCGGTGGATCACCTGGGATAAGGAGTTTGAGACCAGCCTTACCTATATGGTGAAACCCCGTCTCTACTAAAAATACAAAAAAATAGCGGGGCGTGGTGGTGTGCACCTGTAGTCCCAGCTCCTCGGAAGGCTGAGGCAGGAGAATTGCTTGAACCCGGGAGGCAGAGGTTGCAGTGAGCCAAGATTGCGCCACTGCACTCCAGCCTGGGCGATGGAGCGACACTCCATCTCAAATAAAAAAAAAAAAATACACAGATTTCTTAAATTAAATAAATTAATTATAGTATTTATTCTTAACTATATACCCAAATAAAATGAGTTTAATATCCACTGAATTTTATTACAGCAATTTAATATTAATCCGTGAATGCATTACTAGTAATTTAATCACACTGGCTCCATTTTAATCCACAAGGCAATGTCCTAGGTAATTTGTTAGTTTTATAAAACCTTTTCTTTCATGGTTTTCTACAAGCTTCTAAGATGAATCTTTAAAGATAAAAGAAAAATGTAAGTATTTTTTCTTTGCATACTCACACATATACACAAGCTGTCATAGTCTGCTTGGGATTATATAACAGAATATCATACATTGGATAGCTTACAGACAACAGAAATTGATGTTTCATATTCTGGAAGCTGGGAAATTCAAAATCAAGGCATTGGCAACTTTGGTGTCTGATGAGAGGGCTTACTTCTTGGTTCATAGACAGCAGTCTTTTTGCTGTGTCCTCACATAGTAGAAGGGAGAAGGGAGCTATTTGAGGTCTCTGATATAAGAGCACTAATCTCACTCATGAGGGCTCTACGCTCATCACCTAATCACTTTCCCAAGGCCCAACCTCCTAATACCTAATACCATCACATTGGGAGTTAGTATTTCAACATATGAATTTGGAAGCACACAAGCTTTCAGCCTATAGAGCAGACAAACATGTGTGTGTGCATGTGTGTGTGTGTCTGTGTGTTTGCATCTCTGTATTCTGCAAATTGAATATTAGAAATACCCAAAATAACTGAACAAATATCATTTATATAAAATTTTATTTTATATTATAACATACAAATGAAATACTGTAACAATGCCAAATTATATAAATTGAAAATTATATTTTGAGCTTCAGAGAAAATCAGTCTTATCTATTTTTTCATGTCCAGTGCCTATCATAAACCTAGGAAAATATACACTGAAAAAAATGGTTTTTGCAGTAAGAATTAAGTGAATAGCTTTCGGAACTTTGGATGTATCTTGGATCAATTCAGTATCAGTTCTAAAATAAAACTTTTCACTTTATTAAAAAAGAAACTCACATTTTCTCATGTGTTAAGTTAAAGAAAAATGTCTTGTAAATATTAATCTTCTAAAACTCACATTGAAAACTCACACTGATTCTTCAAGTGTCGTGACATAGCAAAACGTTTGACTTCAATGTCCTTCATCTGCTGATGAGGAGTCATTATATAGACGACTTTCTCTTAAGCCTGTTCACAAACTAAAATCTAACTCAGATTTTCCAAGGCCCACTTATATTCTCCATCTTGACTTACTATAGTTTGTTAGGAAGGTCTTTATAACTGTATTCTTTTTGTTTTCTGGAAGATGTAATAAAGGCAGAAAAAATTAGTTACCAAAGCAATGTGAACTGTATAATAATGCAGCTGTGCATAGAGAATGTAAGAGGATTATTTGCAATTTAGATTATATTTAATGCAAATATCTCAATCTAGTTCACTTTTATTAGTTGCTTCCTCCCATCTCCAGACATTTCTATTGCTAACGGTAGAAATGAGAAAAATAATTACCGAAGAACAATTCCCTAGATTCATTATAGTTTGTTCAGTTTTTTTCTTAGTTAAATAATAAGGTTTGCTATTTTTGGGCAGGAATCAAGGTACCTAGAGGGACAGGATTATAATAGCATACCTTAGAAATTTGCAAAAATTCATAAATTAACTAAGGATGATTTCTTGTATCTAAATATACTGTGCTATAAGAGTCCATGGCCAAGTAGCTTATTAAACTTTTACTGTTTCATCATTCCTGACTTGTGGATTGGAATACATCCTCAGCTTCACAGAGAATTTGGATATAGGTTTTTATGAGAAAAAAGAAGGGAAGAGAAAGGGAGAGGAGAGGAGAAGAGGAGAAGAGAAGAACCCCACAGGAAATATATAATCTGTATGATCCTTTACACAAATTTGATCAAAGGCAAAACATTTCAATGTGCTAAACTTTCTAGGAAATAAAAAAGAAGACTTATTTTCATCCAGCACTAATAAAGGGGAACAAATTACACTTCATTTAAAAAAATACTAGGAAGAAGACATACTAGCTGCACATAATTTTCAAACTTTAAGAAAAATTAACAGCTGTAGTAAATGGAGGCATGCAAAAATATTGGATGAGGTTTCATCACTAGCAATAAGCAAAGACCAATTATGATATAATATAGCTTGACATCTGTTATCAAAGTGGATGCCTCATAAGTAAGAAAGAAACATTTGGTTTGAAGGGGAAATAAAAACACACACAAAAATGTAAAACTGAATCCTGCATATAAGGTGAGACTTCTTGAATGATTTCTGGTATCAGAAGTCTTCCTTTACTCTAATCATTTGTTTTATTACTAGATCCTAATGAAGAGCCTTGTTCATATTGTCAGTCAGTATTGTTAAGCTCTGTTCTGTTCAAGAAATAAAATGGAGTATAAAATGCCTTAAGCACAAAGAAATATTTTTTCTTTTTAATCCAAATCAAAATCTTCACGTATTTTCACCGTTGCTGAGATGTAGTGTGTTTTTTTAATCCTAAATTTCTAACTGGGAATCAAGTGCCCACTTAAAGCATACTTTTATATATTATGTGAACATTTTAATCTTAATAAGTATTTAAAAGAGGCTTGTGTACTTAACCCACTCTCCTAAATACTTCACTAAAGTCGTTGGATAGAGTCATGAAAACAAATTGGTTTCCAGTGCACAGTTCTCTTTTAGTAATTTCTTTGTATTGCACATCTTCAGTTATTCATCAGCTGAAAGGGCAAAGAGTTACCACACAAAAGATCTCTAAGATCTTTAGTACACTGTTGGTATGATGGATGAACAAAGCTTTCATGGTCTGGAAGATTATTCTGTCTTCTTTCCTCTGCATTGTTTGGATATAAAGGTTTGCATAATTAGCTGGCAAGTTAAAGAGGAGATACGAGGCAATGTTTAGCCTCCTCCAACTTCAGAAAATGAATTGGGCTGAATACTAAATCATATTAAAGAAAATCAGAAACTTTTTCTTTCCCTTCCTTCCTTCTTTCCCTCCCTTCCTTCCTTCCCTCCTTCCCTCCTTCCTTCTTCCCTCCCTTCCTTCCTTCCCTCCTTCGTTCTTCCCTCCCTTCCTTCCTTCCCTCCTTCCCTCCTTCTTTCTTCCCTCCCTTCCTTCCTTCCCTCCTTCCCTTCCTTCCTTCCTTCCTTCCTCCCTCCTTCCTCCCTCCCTCCCCCCCTTCCTTCCTTCCTTCCTTCCTCCCTCCCTCCCTCCAGTCTCTCCTTTCTTCCTTCCTTCCTTCCTTTATTCTTCCCTTTTTCCCTTTATTCATTAGCTGGGCAAGTGCATCCAGATGTCTTCCCTAATTTCCAAATGTGAAGATGCATTATGTTTGTACCCATTTTCATCTTCCAGAGACAACAAAGCAACTGTTATCATTTGAATGCGATCATACGAATCCCAGAGGAGTGACAGCCTAATGATCTGTAGAAAGCTCAAATGTACTTTCAAATAATGGCACTAGAACACTTATTTTAATAAGGGGGCAGACTTTGCATTAATTATAGATAAGAAAATAATCTCAAACTTGAAACAAATTGGCTTCTTTTTTGAGTCTTCCAAATTCTATCGGTTTTGCTCTTATTCACGTCTGTTTGCTTTAGTCTGTGCCATAAAATTGATGGCAGCAAGCCCACAGTTTCAGGGATGAGTCTAGGAACTGCCAGAAAATGTCCTGGAAACTTAGTTTTGTAGTAGCATATACAAATCTTAAAATAGCTTGATTTTAAATGCATACTTAAATATTAGAAAAGACTTGGGAAATAATACTCCAAGAAAATTATACAAAAATTTAATTGTGATGTTTTTCTTTAATGGGTAGTTTCAGCATATCAAATAATTGTTCTTGAATTCAAAGTTATTGACTTTATATCACTATTCACTGGAGGTCCCAACATTTGACTAATCACCTCCATTAGACTTTAAGGCTCCGTAATAGCAGACAACATGTCTGTTTTTTTGACTCTTGTAGACTTGCATAGAGTCAGTGTCTGATAAAAGGCTGTTTGGTAAAGGTTTTACCTGAGTAAGTAAACCATTAGACTAATTGTATTAGAAAGAACCTTTAAAGTGATTAGAATTATACTGCATACACTTGAAACTACAGCGTATCCTTTCAAATGAAAAATCAAAGTGTGTGTCTGTGTGTGTGTGTGTGTAGGTGTATTTTCTCTTCTAAACAACTGGTGTGGATGTTGGCTAAGATATTTTGAGGTTGTTTGAGACCTGTTTCAGAGGTATATGAGTAAATTTAAGAAGAATATACTTTAAAAAACATTTATTAGAAATTTTGTATCTATTAGACACTGAACTGAGCACTTCTTATGCAAAAACTCAGTTAACATTCACTATAATTCTTTGAAAGAGGCAATTTTATTATTCAGATTATATAGATAAGGAAGCTGAGATTGTCCAATATCACACAACTTGAATGGCTGAGGTAGGTGAATTTTCAAATCTCAAAGCCTACAATGTCAAAAACATAAATCTGGTGTTTTAATGATTTCAACTAAGTACCTCAACATTAACATTAAAAAAATTGATATTACTGTTTCCTAATAAAAAGCAATTTTGCTGAGTGTTGTGGTGTGTGCTTATAATCCTAGCTACTTGGGAAGCTGGACTGAGTTAGAAGGATTTCTTGAGCCCTAGGTTTCTAGATATGCCTGGGCAACATAGTGAGCTCCCCATCTGAACAAAAAAAGAAGTAAGCAGTCTTCTCATGCAGTTTTTCTAAAACAAAACGAAACAAACAAACAAATAATAAAAAAAAACTAGAGTATATAGTTGCATACAGAGATACAAATGGAATATAAACAAATTTCATTCTCAATGATAGAATTACAAATAATACAGTTTTTAGGATAATATCTGTGGCTGTGGGTGACTAGCTCATCTCCTTATTTCTTTAGTACTTATTCAAAACATATCTATATCATCTGACAGATAACTTAGAAAACTTTGATAAATAAATCATTTTTCAACTTTTAAGTTAAAATATTTTTTCTATTTTATTTGAAATCTTTACAAAAATCCTATCCAATTTTCAAAATATTTTGTCTCTATTTAGCGTTGTGTTTCCTTCCAAATGGCACAGATTTCAACTTGGAATCATGAGAATATAATTGCCTTACATATTCTTCCTGCTTTAGAAAAGCTGTATGTTATTTTAGTTTAACTTCCTTTTATGAACCTACACTCCTGCCTAGCAGTGAATTTAGGTTAAAAATTTTAAGGTGTTGAACCTAGTATCATTTTATGTATTAATATACACAGTGTCTAATATGCAATGAGGGGATTTTAGGTAATGTAATGAATTTAGTGAAGCTAAAATTTTAAATATATCTATGTGTATTTAATTTTATTTGTATATCTACATAAAAGATGTTGTATATAGGGAAAGTAAGATGAAACAACCAAATGTGCCACATTAAGGTGCATAGACAGCAATGACACTGTTTATGGAGGAAGCTGTCAGCACAACAAATAAACATTGTAAGTCAGTTTTGTTACCATAAACATATATACAGACTCGAGCCTAAATCATGCTTAATGAATTTTTCAAAGTGAGCATTGAACATTGAATTTGTAATGATTAAAATGGTGATACACACAAAATAATCTTATTTCATTTTAATAATCGATTTCAGATACTTAAGTAATTGGTGAAAACCTTTAACCAAAATAATTTCAAATCTATATTAATATTAGAGAGGTAACAATAAAGATATGTGTGCTACCTACCATATAAAATGCCATATTTTTCCACAATTCTTTTTTCCCAATTATTTTACTGATCATTAGTAAGTTAAAAATATCCCATCCATATTTTCTACTATTTGAAAGTGTTACAATGTCCCATTTAGCCTTCAATTATTTCTCATGGAACTACTTTATTAGCGTGCAATTAGAAGTATTTTATAATCAAAGATTTCTATTCTTAAATTATTTCAGGTAACAATTTTCTGGGTATTTTTTCCTCCAAAATTTTTTTTCTGTTACTTGAATACTTTTTTTGAATCAAAAATAATATTAGGCCCTTTAAAAGAATTTCAAGTTATCTTGAAGTAATGTTGTCTAATCTTCCATTCAGTGTTTTATTCTCTTTAGTATATCTGCACAAAGCTATTCTAACTTCTGTTTTTTCACTTTTAATAATGGAATATGTGTCACAATCTGGACAAGGTCATTCCAATCCCTGACAACTTTATTCGTTACTAAATCTAGTTGGAAAAATAGACCTGCATTCAGGCCCTACTAGAATTCCAGGCCCCAGGGCTATTTTTATTTTTTTTCTCAAAGAGAAATATGTCTTTATTAATACCAAATATAATATTAAGCTCAAAAATATCCCCATAAATTTTACCCAGGGTTTCTCTGCTTTTCCTATAGAATAAATTTAAATTCTCCCTATGACATAATTTTAATTGTACTTGACACCAGATGTATTCACTACTGCTACTCTCTCTCTGTATATATAGACCTCAAGACTAAAGATAACCTCTTCATTGTGAAAAAATGAGATTACTCTTATCTGGAGAAATGGCATATGAGGGCTAGTTTTCTGTTGATTTTTTAAAAATCCACAATAAAGAAACTGAACTGACTTTTTTTCAGGAAGCTGTTTGTTAGTCAATAATTGAATTTTATTGCCTGACATGTGCCAGGAATGTGGGCAATGGATATAACAGTAAACAGAACCTGTAAGTCACTGATCTCTGAGATCCATCAGTTTAATGATTGGAGATTAATAATAAATAAATTGATTAATAGATATTAATTTATGTAGTAATATCATCTATGAAGAAAATATAAGCAGGATAACCAAATTTTTTTAATAATGTGGTAATTTGGAACTGGCTATTGAGTCATAGAAAGGAGTTCTCAGCTGAACTGAAGAAGGGTATTGAAAGCCAACCTTCCTTCCTGCCCTTCTTGGCTACAGCTTTCTAGCTTTTGCAAACAAACAGAAACGTGAGAAAGATGAACAGGCTGGACTTTACAGCTCTCATGCATGCTAAATATAGCACAAGCAATTCCTTCTAGACTCTTCTGAAATGACAGTGATGAATGTGATTTCTGAATGACTTGCTAATTGCAGCTAAGTCAGTCACAGGATTTTGTTTCTTCTGTCCAAGGCGGATGTGCCATAATGAAAACCGCAAGGATAATTATTTTATACTGAAAACTATTATTTAATAACTTATGATTTGCATGTACCTTGGAAACAATCTCATGACTGTCATTCAGAAATGTCTATCTGAGGGAATGCTGAAGAATCAGAAGCATCTTGTTTTATTAAATGTTATACTGCTTTACAATTACAGCTACAGAAATATTGTTATGATCAAATTTGTTTTTTGCATTTTATATAAATACATCATTATGAAATATGGAACAAAGCATATAATATACATTATAAAGATAAATAAATAGAAAGATTTTGAAATTAGAAATTTAAAAAAAGTATTTTTGGATGTTTACTTACTACACTGAGCATGGTAACTTTATAAGAAACATGAGAAGTATTCCTGCCAATAGTATATTTATCTTGTTTATGTTGACCTGGTATTCCAGAAACAAGTAAGACCTTACTACTTAAAGGTTGTAAAAAGTAAAAAGTCAAATGACCATTCAGATTCTGAGTTCCCAAGACATAAGCTCACCCAAATTTCTGTTCTCTATACACTATTTTGACAAATGTATCCGTTTTTGCCTCTCATTATTCTTATACATGGTGATTCATATCTGTCTCTCCACATTCTTTCATCCACAATATCTTGCTGGGGTCTAGTCATAATATTACACACACTGCATACACACCTATATTTAGCTATTGCCCACTTCTATTTTGCAGGACCACACTATATTAACCCTCACTGTCCCCAGCCCAAATATTTTATGTTCTGTAATTTCATTAATGTCCCCAACTTGCTTCCAGTGGCACATTACACTCTGAGGTGAGAACTGTATGCTGCATGGTTTGGAATCACCAGCTTTGCAACCAGAGTCTGCTACTAAAAGCTGGTTGAATTTGCATGAAGTTATTCAAATTATCAGAGCGTATTTATCCATTAATTTGCAATAAGTGATATCAAGGAGACCAAGTTGGTTGAGTATAGTGAGCAGAGAGATTATCTTATCAGAGATTGTCAAACAATTTGTCATATGGGCCCATTTAGATAATGATAAGAAATTTAGATTTTATTCAAGATAAAATTAAAAAATCACTGAAGAGTTATTATCCAGGCAGTGCTAAGATCTGGCTTATATTTTGAAAGGATTGCTCCAACATAGGGAGGAGAATAAACTGGAGAGAAAAGAGTAGGACCAGGGAGACTGGCTATTGTAGTAAACCAGAAAACATACCTTGGTGGCTCAGATTAGGCTTGTAGTTCTGAAAATGAGACCTAAGTTACTTGCAGATCCATTTTAAAGATCAAGCTGATAGAATTTGCTGATGTGGAATGGGGAAAAATTTTAAAAATAGGAAAATTTGTTTTTTTTTTTTTGTAATTGTAAATGGAGACATTTACAGAGATATACATTCATGAGCATTTACATGATGTTTAATGTCATAGAAATAAATGATTTTTTGTTTTGTTTTGTTTTTGTTTTGTTGTGTTTTTTGAGACGGAGTCTTGCTCTGTCGCTCAGGCTGGAGTACCGTGGCGCGATCTCGGCTCACTGCAAGCTCCGCCTCCCGGGTTCACGCCATTCTCCTGTCTCACCCTCCTGAGTAGCTGGGACTACAGGCGCCCACCACCAAGCCCGGCTAATTTTTCGTATTTTTAGTAGAGCCGGGGTTTCACCGTTTTAGCCTGGATGGTCTTGATCTCCTGACCTCGTGATCCACCCGCCTGCCTCCCAAAGTGCTGGGATTACAGGCGTGAGCCACCGCTCCGGCCAATAGATGATATTTTTTAAAGGAAGAGTACAGGAAAAGAGAAGAAAAGAGAAATAAGAACTGAGCTCTGGGAAGATTTAGGAGGTTGGGAAGGTGGGAAGAATCTACATAATAAATAATTAATCATATATTCAAAAAGTATTCATTGACTACCTAATATGTGCCTAATAATGTCGTAGGTACTGGGAATATAGTTGCAAACAAAATAAACGAAAAGTCCCATCTTTTTAGAGCTTACATGTTGGTGAAAGAGAGAAAGATGAGCAGGATCAATCCGTTAAGTAAATACATGCTAAGGAAAATTCTAAGTGTGTAGGAAGTTGTAATGAGTTTCTAACTCATTCTATTCACTTGCTTAATTCTGCAGTACAGACACTAAGAAATTTAGTATGCACTTCTAAAAAAAATAAAAAGTCATATTCTTACTGAGCCAAAACAACACTGTCACACTTAATACATTTATTTAACAATAATCTGTTAATATCATCCAATTCCCAGACTATATTTCTTACTATTCTAAATTACTAAATATGTAATGGACCTAATAATTATAAACAATGTACACTCTTAAAGAGAATTCTGGTTTGGTTATTTTTCTAAAGGTCAAGTTGACAGAATTTACTGATTAACTGGCAGTGGAGAATGATGATCAATATTGACCTTGAATTTTTTGGCATAAGCAAGAGATATAATGAAGTTTTTTTTTAACTGAAGTGGGGAAGTATGTGAGGAGAATGTTAAAAGTAAATTAAGAATATATAAAGTTTGAAATGCATATTAAATACTTAAGTAGATACGTACATAAGGCACAGGGGTTTAGGAAGAGACCTGGGCTGCAGATATAACTGGAAGTCATCAGTATGTAGATGTTAGTTAAGGCAGTAAAACTGACTGATATCACCCATGGAATAAACATGCACAGGAAAGAGTGGTCCAAGGATTGAGCTGCAGTATATTACAATATTTTGACATGAGAAGAAATCACAAAGGAGACTAAAATGGTAAGCCTAGAAAGGTTAGAAAAAAAAAAAACTCTGATGATTTCTGGGTTTCCATGACTCCACTGAAAGAGATGCTTCAAGGAGGAGAGAGACTACACACACATCAAATACTGATGATTCAGAAATAATTAAGTGACTTCGCAACATGGAAATACAGACCAATATGAGAATAGTTGGAATGAGATAATTGGGATAGTGAAATAGTTTAAATATAGAATGAGAGGATAAAAGTGGGCAATTGGTAGAGGTAAATTATTAGTGAGTTTTGCTGTCAAGAAGAGTATGAAAATGGGAAAGTAGCTATTAAACAATGTGAAGTCTTTTTTTCAGATTACATATTTTTTTTTACAGTAGTAAAACTACATGAATAAATGGAGGGCAAAGATGATTTTTTAAAAAAAGAAGAAAAATACTTTTAGAACTAAAGTCTTGCATAGTCATATGTGGATGGGCTCTAGAGAATCCCACTGGCAAGTCTAGATGGGAGACAAGGGCATAATCGACATTGCAACTGGAGGGAGGTAGAGAGGACTTGGCCAGGGTTTTTGATAAGTTAATTGATTTTGCGATCTGATTAATTTTGGGTTTTGTTTTCTTGTGTGTGAGTGTGTAAAAAGCAAGTTTGTAGCTGTGCAAGTAGAGAAGAAATGTTTGAGTTTTGGGAAGACAGAACAGGTATAAATATCCTTTAGAAGTGTTGAAGGAATAAATTGGCTAGAGACATTAATGCCAGGCAACATTAAAGAATCTCTTGAGTTTAAGGTCTTGAATTTATTCACATAGTGTGTATACATGTTTATATCCAGACACATTAATTAAGCTGTTTGATAGCAATCACATATTTAAACATAAACAAGGTTGTGATTCTTGCAGGTGAGAAAGATTAAGAGAAAAAGGCCAAAGCATTTCACAGTTTATTTGTATGAACACTGAGATAATTAAAAATGTTTACAAGATTTTTAGTAGATAGAAGGAAAGTAAGCTAGATGCTAAAACATATTCAATGGATGAGTAAGATTCAGCAGGCTTTAAGCAGTTGAATGCAGCAAGAATAAAATGTAAATAGTATACTCTGATGTAATCTAGTAGAATCTACTTTAAGAGAGTTTATTCTGTGGAAGAAGGAGGAATAATGTTTTGAAAAAAATAACGAGCTCTTAGTAGACATATATACATATATATGGCTCTATGGTACACGAATAGCAGAATAAAAAAGCCATCACTTGAGAAGGGTGAAGATGAAGTAGAATCTTCACGATCAGTCAGGCATCAGTGTAAAAGAAGTGTTCATAAGTTGAAACTGCAGTTAGTTTTGCTGCCAGATTGCAAATCACAAAAGAAGAGTTGAGGGCTTTAGAAGCTTAGAAAATGTGTTAGTTTGACTAGTGTAGATTTCAGTATAGGTTACTAAAGGTTACTGCTAGGTTACACAAACCTGTTTCTGAAGGACTTTAAAACATGTTTCTTAGTGGCATACAATGTTTTGTTACATATTTTAATTCTTTAGCATATTTGCACACTCATATGCACGTAGGCAGATGGAAAGACATGTCTCTTCATATGATTCTGTAAGATCTGAGATACAGCACAGATGGATGATAGCAATAACCTAAATCATTAAACATAAAGATCATATTTTTAATCTTTACCAATCTTTTACTTTTATTTTTGTTAAACTTACTTTCTTTGCCTTTAGAAATGACACATTTCTTTTTCTAATTTTTAAAACACTTCTTCTTACTTTAATTTTCAGTCCGACATACGTTCTTAACTCATGAAATGGCCCTGGATATTGCTAAGTAAGAAAACTGAATAACATTCATTGATTTTCCTTTCTTCTCACACACTCTCCATATCTACCTGATTACCAGAGCTCATAGATAATATTCTCTGGACATCTGAAATCCATCCTCTGGCTTGTCTTTTCATTCCCAAAGTTACTCCCCAGTGTAGACCATTTGTATTGCTGCCCTGGAACACGACCATGTGTCTCCTCTCATTCTCCCTGTCAGCTTTCTTACTCTCTTCTATGCCATTCTCTCTTCTGCACACAAAATGATTTTTCTAAAATTCAAATTTGATAGCATTCTCCCCTCACATTAAAAAAAAAAGTTTTCACATGGTGCTCTTGGCACGTAATCTAAAACAAGCTTGGTTTACAAATGTACAGTCTGGTTTCTTCATAACTCCCCAGATTCATGTCTCCTCACACCTGCCTTTTTACTTTCTCTTTCTCTATCACCTCTCGGTCTTTGCCTGTACTGTTTCATCTTACCCCAAAACTTTTTATTTCTTTAAGAAAGGTTTCTATAAGCTTCTAAGACTGGACTGAGTTTCTCCTATGTTGTATTTCCCAAGCCTGTAGTTAATCATAGTATAGTTCTCATTATGTGGTTTGGTAAATTGCTTATTTGCTGTTATCTGCCAGCGGTAAGTGGTAACCTCAGTGATGGTAGGCCTGCATTTTACTCTACGATATATTCATACTGACTCCATAGCACCTAGCCCAGTGCCTGGCTCACAGTTGGTGCTCAATAAATATTTGTGAAGTGATTATAGTAAATCATACAGATGTGAGGTAACATTTAATATAAAATATCAGATATTTTATGATCATCATTTACATTCATAATGTTGGATAAAACCAAAAGGGATTAGAATCAGATACACAAATAATGGTGTAAACACATCTTTATAATAATAATTATATAGTTTTTTAAATCTGCCTAAATAATAGCCAAATCATAAATGAAGTATTATTCTAATTGTTTAATGGCCATATTTGGTTCTCTTTATGACAGTATTGAATGATTATGCAAAACTCAGTTATTAAATTAGAGAAAGAAAACAGCATGACCAGAACACTATAATCTTATAGAAACAATTATAAATCATGACACCGTGTCTTTAGGAGGTTATGTTAAATAAATACAATCAAAATCTCTAACTTTAAAACAACTATGATCGATCATATTTTCCTTAAGAAATTATTACTTTTTTGGGGGGTTGGTGGAGCGGAGTAGGAAATGTAAATGGTATCTAATTTTCATTTCCTTTTTAATTTTAGAGCTAAAATATTACAAAACTGAAGAAAATGTTTCACTGAGTTCTTCATGTTAATTCATTTAAATTTTTCACACTGGTATTTTTTATAAGTTCATTGCAAAAACCTTGAAGATTGAGGTAAATTATAATTGAATTATAATGTTTGTCTACCTTTCTGACATAATATGATTTTTATTTTTTCTGCGATCTCTCATGATAAAGGCCATTTTTAAAATCAAGTCATATTTTCTAGAACCTTATTTGTCTAATAAATTTCCTTAGGAAATATAAAGTTCTCCCTATTTAGAATACAATAATACTTTAATATACCTAAAACATAGTTGTTTTCAACAACCAGTTACCATCAGCGGCATAGTACACTCAGATATTTATTTAATAATGATTGAGATAAAGATAAAGAAATGTTATTATGAGATTTATTTATTTATTTATTTATTTATTTATTTTTATTTATTTATTTATTTTTCAGACAGAGTCTTATTCTGTCACCCAGGCTGGAGTGCAGTGGCATGATCTTGGCTCATCACTGCAACCTCCGCCTCCCAGGTTCAAGTAATTACCTTGCCTCAGCCTCCAGAGTACCTGGGACTACAGGCACATGCCACCACACTTGGCAATTTTTTTTTTGTACAATATTTTTAGTAGAGACAGGGTCTCACTATGTTGGCCAAGCTGGTGTTGAACTCCTGACCTCAAGTGGCCCACCGAACTGATCCTCCCATAATGTTGAGATTACAGGCATGAGCCACTACACCTGGCTGATGTATTTTAATGCAAAAATTATTTACTCATAGTGAAAATTGTATGCTTAACATTTGTTGATTTGAATTTCCTTTAATGGAAACTGACAACCTGGTATATTGTTGCTTGTTTTTTTTTGTAGTTGTTGTTGTTGTTTGAGACAGAGTCTCGCTCTGTCGCCCAGGCTGCAGTGCAGTGGCGCGATCTCAGCTCACTGCAAACTCCGCCTCAAGAGTTCACGCCATTCTCCTGTCTCAGCCTCCCGAGTAGCTGGGACTACAGGTGCCTGCCACCACGCCTGGCTAATTTTTGGTATTTTTTTAGTAGAGACGAGGTTTCACCGTGTTAGTCAGGATGGTCTCGATTTCCTGACCTCGTGATCAGCCCGCTTCTGCCTCTCAAAGTGCTGGGATTACAGGCGCGATATTGCTTGTTGTAAATAATGTTAAGTGTTCCAACTCCAGCTATTGAAAAACAGTGACAGATTCTAGTCATTAATTTATATATGCTGATGGAAAATAGATTTCAAGATTTATTTTAATATGTCAAATACATACCTAATTTTTGCATACCAGATACCTGTACCATATGAAAATAATGAGAAAGTCATATATTCCTTTTAGTAGCTGTTGATATGTTTAATTTGTAATACTTTAGTCACTTTTATGAACAAATGCTACATAATCTATGATGTTGTAAGATTAAAAATGTATTTTACTTGAATACCAATTTGGTTTTTTATAAACATGATAAATAAATATTTAATTTGAAACGCTATGACTATAGATCGGGTGAGGTGGCTCATTCCTGTAATCTCAGCACTTTGAGAGGATTGTTTGAGCTCTGGGTGGTTGAGGCTGAAGTGAGAGCCATGATTGCACCACTGCACCCCAGCCTGGGAGACAGAGCAAGATCCTGTCTTTTCAAAAAAAAGGCTGTGACTATACTGTGGTTACTTTATTTCTGACAACCAAAAAGACTAATTTTGAATCACATCTAGGTTGCTATAAATGTACTTCTAAAGAGCCATTCATATCTACAAAACACGGGCATATACTGCAGAAAAATGCTAAATATAATTTTCTCTCTGGATAAGTTAAGAAAGTAAAACATAAGAAAAAAGGAAACTATCAATTATGGAGTAATGTACTTACAGTTTTTATCCCTTTTGACTTTATATATTATATTAAGTTTAAAAAGTAAGAAAGCCAATGACTATGCTTACTTTATTTAAAAAGTAAATGATCCATATGTATTTCTCAAAATATTATTAAATTTTTTAATGGATATCATAATGTTATTTGGTATTTAGCTTATGGAAGAAAAAAACCGTTATGGACTTTCATGTTTCTATATCGCAAAAATGTTAATTTGTATTTTATGTGGTCCTCTTGAGGGATTGGATGGACAACATTAAGCCAATATAAGCAAACGTATTTAAATCCAAGTATAAAACCATAGCTAAACCCAACTTCCATGTGGTTTAAATTTTAAACATGTATGAGAGTTTTCAGCTTTTGTGAAAGCATTACACTATTGCCAAATTTGAATGTTCATGTGTTTTTTTTGTATGGCATTCTGAGTAAAACTTACTTATTGTATACTTTTAATGTTTTTATTATGCACTAAACATTTAGGATGAATGAGCAGATTTTAAATTTTGTATATGCAATGTGCATTAAAATGTTATTTCTCACTATGTATATGTCTATATAATCCTACATGTATAACTTTTTAGATCCATTGCACAAATTTATCATTTGTATTAAGGCAAATGTATTAAGGCAAATTGTATTAAGGCAAATGTTTGTGAGGTATATTTTACTCTAATAATTCACCCAAATTTCCATGCATTTTCATAACACAAGGGTAGCTTACTATCATAATATAGTACTCCCCAATGATAATGTACACAAATCCTCTAAGAGAAGTGTCATGGCTTTTATAATGATTAAACTTACAGTAATAGCAGCAGCTCACTTTAAGGATGTCTAGTACATCATTGTCTTAGTTAAATTTCTTCAACTGTCAACTTTTTAAAAAGTATTATCATACTAAGAATTATTTTATCACAGCTTATGGGAAAATGCTCCTATTTCCACTCTTTCGTTAGTATTTTACAGGGGTCAGTAGAATTTTACACATTCCTAGGAAACTTTTATATGTTTATTATTATTGATAGCATAAGTTACTATTAAAATTACTATTCTTAGTCATGCTTACTAAGTGACAGACAGATTGAAATAATTCTTTAACATCAGTTACAGAGTTGAGATTTATTTTGTAGACAAAGTAGTATGTTTCAGATAGGCTATCTTTTGCTTACTGAGTTTTTAAACATAAATATCTGATAACAAGTGTTAGTTATCTTCAGTTACACCCAGTGTGAGGTAAGGATATTCTTCTGTTCAAGTTGTGATATTCTAGCAGCAGATTCTAGTTCACAGAAAGTGTCTGTGAAAGTTTTCCATATTATCCCTCCTAGGAAGATTATGCCCACTCAAAATATCTCAATAGACATTACATATGGTGTTCCAGAAGAATGCAGATTCCCAGCACATCCATTTCCTTCCTGTGTGTGCAGATAGGCGTATTTTAAGAGATTCACTGAGTACTTTGCATGGATTCATCACTTAACATTGGTTCTTATTTTATCTTTGGATGTGTTATTTTATTGCCAGATTTCTACACTGAGGCTAGGCTAGGATATTGTGCCAGCCAAATCATCTACTAAAGGCATGACAAACATGATAGGAAATATGAAAACAAACACCACTAGTCGACGTGCTGCTGGGAGTGGGGATGCATTGTGTTCGTTAGCTCTGTTTTGGGGCTATCTGGAGAATTAAGTTCCTCCATTTGAAATGAATGGTAAGTTTTTCAACATTGGCTTCCTTAGCAGTGTTTGAGGTAAGCTTGCTGTTACTCTTTCATTTTCTTTCAAAATATTTTGGTCTTTAGTATACTGTTAAATGAAGAACTGGTGTGGTGCTTTCATCTCAAAGGACACACCATGACATATCCAGCTGATAAAACTGATGGGGAACTTTTCTAAGAACAGAGGTTTGGCTCAAGATTAATATATAACAACTCTAACTAAAATACGTAGTGGAGTGAAGTATCCTTTTTCTTCTACATCTTATTGGAGTTATACGTTAAATTGACTGAAATTTATTGCACAGTGACGATACAAGTAGAGCTGCATTACCTAATTGATATTTAAGACGCAAGAAATCTTTATTTTAAAAAATCAGTCATGAAAATAGCAGCAATGTTATATTTTAATTAGTAGAATATAAACACCCAAGAATCGAAACTATCTTGCTCAGAAGTGAAAAAGTAAAATTATAGGTGAATTTAAAATTGAGGATTAGACCGCTCCATTTTGTAGGCAGTTAGACTCTTGACAGAAAGGTTAAATTTAGAAATGATCTCTACATATGCAGGTGCATGTTTAAGGCTTCTTCTATCTGAATTTACATTTGATACCTAAGGAAACCAGGCTGATAAAAAAGTGAAAACATCCTTACCTACATATTCATGGATGGATAACAAGTTGTATGTAGATGTGCCTAAGAGAGCAGTGTAAGTGTGTGTGTGGAATGAAAGAATGTGTGATAAATGAAAAAATAATAAAATTATTTTAAACATAAGGGAGGTTTTGCATGAACAGACAATGGTAATGCTCTAGGAATAACTGAATTCTCTGTGTCTACCAAAAAACACTGAACTGACAAAAATTGATTTGCTCTTAGAAAATTCTATTTTTGGAATTCTGTTCTCAGTATTACATTTTTAATTTATAAATTTCAAATAAAACAATATAATAATTTAGAATAATATTTCCTGAGCAAGATGATAGTGTACACAGATAACCATAGTTTTACCTTCCTAATGCATAGAGTTAGAGCCTAAACACAGAAATATTATTAATAATAAGTACTGAGCCCAGTGAGGATTAAGAAATAATAATCAAAACAGTAAATTTAGAGTGACAAGGTAGCTAGGTGGTCTAGTAAAAAGAAATGGGCTTTGGTGTCAGAAAGACTTGGATACAGAAGCCCATTTCAAAGCATATCTAGCCTTTTGACTATTTTTACTCCTTTTGTTCCTTTCTGTCCGTCTCATCTTTCAATCTCCAGAGATTCCTTTTAGTGTAGATTAGTTCAAGCTCAAAGTATCTGAAGGCTGTATACTAAAGACTGTGAATACTGACCTTCAAGAACAGACGGAGGACCACCTGAATTACATCAGGAATAAACAAGTTTATATACATAAATGTTTTTGCATTCTCAATATTTTAGTACCAACTCTAAGATATACAATTTTATCAGTAGCTGAACAGTTTGGAAGTACTAAAAATACTATTAATATCCTTATCCAACTATTTCTTAGACATCAATCTATCAATGGAAAAAAAAATGGATCTCATGAGTCTTTGATTTTTTTTTTTGAGGTCCCACTACGTTTATCATGTATTTTATCAAATCTTTATCACACAGTTTATCAAGTATTTATCAACATTTTTACTCTATATATAATTTTAGACATTATCTATTCTTATTGGCATGATAATCTAACCATTTATTTTGCATGTTACACATAGGGAAACAATAAAATGATTTTAGTATACTTTCAAACAAATGGAGTGTTCCATGCTTAAACTGGATTTAGCATGGGCATTTACAATTTTCTGTATAATCACATCTTTATTTCATTTGAAAATTTATCTCTTGTTTGTATTTAGAACTCAACTACTGTAGAACAATAGAAAAATAAAAAAAAGAATTAAATATTTTACATAAAAATTTCCATGTTGTTTTTCATTGCCAGTGGCATAATTGTTATTTACTTGGGCTGTATTTTAATGTGGTAGTTTCTCATAATGAAAAAGGCTTCAATATTCTCTCAAAGAAAGCATAATACAGTGAATATGCATATACTCTAATCGTGTGTGAGTATTGGAGAGGTGCTTCCTTAAATGCCCCCTCAGATATGAAAGTATAGTCTGGTCATTAAAGGACTGGGGTCCATAGCAGTTTACACCAGCATTAGTTCTTCCAGAATTTTTTTCTATACCTCTTTCTCTGTGTCCTCATTGAAAGCTACTATAAATGTTCAATATCCTTCATAATGCAATAGGATTTTTACATTTTTCTAATTACTCTATCATCATTACTTTTGGTTTGAAGCATTCCATGAGAGTCCTTTTTTTTCCTATCAGGATAATTGTTTAAAACTTTTTTACCAGAAAAAATATCATAAAATTAGAGACTACTGTGGATTTAGCAAGAGAAGTTGCAAAATTATAATAAACAGTGCTCTGAATCATACTATTAAATAAGACTACTTACCAATAAAATTTACAAGATAATTTAATATGTAGTTGAAATCTCTCTATTGCTGAATGAATTTTTATATTATGCTTAGGTATTAAGTAATCAAATCATTAGGTTTACTATTTTATAATAATCATATATTTTATACTCATATTTTCTTCCTTATTAAATGAATAATATCTCGTTCTAAAATTACTAAATATTGCATTTTCATCATCTTATTCTTTTCCATTTGTAGATATTTGATTATGTGTCTATATCTAAAGTAGGTTCAAACCTCTGGTTTACCAATATTTTGTAAAGTCAATGCTATTTACAAAATAATATTTATTCTTTTTGAAATCTCATTGAAAAGTTTATTACAAGCATACTGTGTTACAACTGTGATTGAACTTATCATTTCGATTCCTTTACTTCAAAATCTTTTCTAGTCCAGAAAAGAAGGAAAAAATGTTGAAACACAATAAAAATAAACGTATGAGTTAAAAGCATATTTTCTGCAGAAATTTCAAGGATAACAAAGGACAATTATAAAGGTTTAATTTTATATTTAGTAGATAATCATTTATCTGACTCTAATATTATTTATTCTTTATATATAAATGGTCTGCATTGTACTAAAGGAAGATAAATAATGTAATTAAATTAAGAAAGATAAAAAACAACCAGTTCAGCTATCACCTATAATTTAAGGTAGAGATTTAAAAAAAGTCTTAATTTACATATACTCTAATGTAAGTCTGAGTAACTAACAGAATATCTGACGCCAAAGTTGATGGAGAAAGCAAGATTAGGATTTGTACATCCCAGAAATACAGTAATTTTTCGTAAGTGTTAGGTTTCTTTGACTTCCACAATGATTTCATTATAATAAATATAGGTAGTATCCCTCATATTACGATATCTGAATTAATTGTATACTAAGTATATAAGATTATTGTTAGTAAATTTAGTAATAAATAATTTGCACATGAAATCTGAGATTGCAGTCTAGTGCTGTAAATAGAATTAGTTTAAGGTTTTACAAATAACACATTTTCTGGTTTATGTTATTCTCCTCTCATTCTCTATTTCAGGGTTCATTAATATGATTCAAAATTTTTATGACTACCTTCTTTGAAATATTTATTCTCCAGATGTTACCATTTTTTTAAGAAGATAAAATGAAAGAAAAATCCAAAGCAATAAAATAAATGCAAATACATAGTTATAGCTTTAGAGATTCAGGTTAAAGGAGAAGGCAAGTTTATTTTAATCATAATGTTAATAGTTTAGTTTTTGCTCTTATGATGTTAATCCTTACTTTCCTCAGCTCACTAATACTTACTGGAAACCTGAAACGTGCATGCTGAGCCCTGCCTAGCCAAGGGCCAATCTTCAGGAATTCAGCCAAATCTTAGAAATGCAGCTTGTCCCTAGAGTCCCCATTTTCCAACACTTGCTGGCCTGATTTCTTTTCTGCCTACCAACTCCTGGGCCCTTTGCTGAACTTCTCTAAACTTATGTCTGACATACTTTTCAGCTTTTGTCAAAATTTTGTTCCTTGGGGCTACTTCCTAGTCTCTTTAGTCCCTAACTTGCAGTTAGGTTTACCAGATTTAGTGAAAACAAAGCAAAACACCCAGTTAAATGTGAATTCCAACTAAAATACAAATAATGTTTAGTATAATTATGTCCCATCAGACGTATGGGTCATATTTATACTAATATATGTTAGAATTAGTATTATATTTATACTAATTTTTAACTTATACTAATATTTAATTATAAATTTTATATCTATAATATTAGTGTTAGTAAATATTTATAATTAAATATTAGTATTAGTATTATATTCATACCAATATATGTTAGTATTAGTATCATACTTATATATTTAAAACAATGTATATTACATATATATATTCCTGGTTTAGCTTATTTTTCACATTTAACTGAATGTCCTGTATTTTATCTGGCAATATTACTTACAGTATGTATCTGGAATAATGTCAGGCATATTACATATAGTTTCTCAAATTTCCATAACAGCCAAGGAGATAGGTATTAACACTTTGATTTTAGAAAAAAAAAAAAAAATAAGGGCAAAGGAGATTGAATTCTTGCTCTTTTCCTTCCCTAGTGGTACGCAAAAATTCTAATAGAGAGGGAGCAAAGTTTAGGGAAGATGGATCTGGGTTCCTCCATCACACCACAAAGTTCAATTTGGAGTTCCGGTTTTCACTGATAGCTGTGGAATTTTGAGTAGCTTCAGCTCTGTAAGCCTCAATATCCTTATCAACACCTGTTGAGGATGATGATACTTCTTTAGAGAATTGCTACAACCATGAAAGTGAAGTCCTGAGCAGGGAGCTAGCAAATGTTAGCAATAGCTAGCAAATGTTAGCAATAATAAATTTAATTGATGTAATTTTTAATATTATAGATTTAAAATTATGACTCCAAAGGCTACCTGGTCAGTACTTTCTTTAGAATATCCTGACTATACAATAGGCTAAATTATTATTATTCTTTACATATTACATAAGAAGTATATTCTTTAAGGACAAGTATTTTTATTACTACATATTCATTATATTTTAACAGATTAATTTTCTATTAGACATTACATAATACTTCTATGAATGTTCAAGGACACACAGAGAGCAGCACGTACATGTTTTGTGGTCTAGGGTCAATATTTTGTCACTACTTATACCAGGTTGCTTATGAGAAGTTATTTTCCCCCGCTTTCTTGTCATGCAATTAGACTGTGACCTCTCAGTTCTATTGTAAGGTTACTTGCCTTCTGCCTATGCCTTCTTAGAAAATTGTTGTTTCTGATTTGTCTTTCATCAAAAAAAAATCAATGAGTAATTCTCTTAAAATTTAGGGCACAGTACAAGTCAATAGGTTTCAATATGACCTTTTCTATGGAATACATATCAAAGAAACATTTGTCATACTTTTTTGATGTTCAGAATATCTAGGATGTTGTCTGTTTTTCTCTTTGCTACCTGTCTCTTGATTCCTTTTATTTTAGATCCACATAGTCTTAATTACTGATGACCTAAGTTCTAACCAAGTGGTTTGCATTGTATTTATGAGGATAGTTTTCTATAAGGAAAGTAAATAAAATTAAGTAGATAGAGTTGATGATTACACAAAACCAGATTAATCATTATAATCACTGTACCATTCCCATCAGTTCACAATCATGTTGCAATATTCCCCATGAAAAAGCAAGGCCAATCGAAAACACCTCTACCCTCTCTTGTCCAGCCATCCCCTGAGTTGACTTCCCTGATCCACTTTAGAGTAATGCTCTTTGAAAGAGTTGCCTCAAATTGCAATTACTGATTCCTCTCCTCTCATTCTCTTTTGCATCTCTATTAAGGTTTTAGTTCCCACCATCCCATCAAAACACCACATCTTTGCTACCAATATGTCCACATTTCCAAACCCACAATCATACACAATTTCACATAATTTTCTTTGTACTCATTCTATATTCTATACGGATACTCCTTTCCTGAAATATTCTCTTTATTTAGTCTTGAGTGGATACCATGTTCTCCTAGTTGCCCTCCAATTCATTTGGCTACTCCATTCTCTCTCTACAGTTTTTTCTTCCTCCTCCCTCCCTCTAACCTTGAGGTGCTTAGACATGTGTTTTATCTAAAACCTCCGTAAGTGAAATAAACCTGTCTCATAGCTTTAAACACCATCTTCATACTTTTAGATACCAAATTTATAGCCCCTTTTTCTCCCTTGAATTTCAGATGTCTTGGCACAATAAAAATTTAAATATGAATTAAACAATTTAATTTAAATATTTCTGGAAAAACAGGTCCCTTAAACTTGAAATGTCTGAAATAGAACTTTTGATTTCACTCTCCCAACCATATCCTCCAATAGTTGTTAATATCTCAGGAAATGTTACCTCTACTCTTCTGGTGGCTCAAATAAAAAATTTTGCAGTGTAGTATCCTTGTCCCAATTTATTCTCTTATATTCCACATCCAATATCTCAGCAAATATTGTCAGACCTTCCTTCAAAGTATAACCTGATTCTGATCATTTTTTCCCACTTTTACCTAATCTATGATCATTTCTCAACTGGATTGCTGTAATAACCTCCTAGTTCTTCTGTACACTTCATGCTTGTGTACCTACCAGTCAGAGATTTCTTTATAATGTTTGAGCCAAAATATGCTACTCAAATTCCTGAATATTTCATAACTAAATGTCTCACTCAGGAAAGATTTCAGAAACTCATCCAAGCTTCAAATCATATATCTTGGCTCTTTGTACTTCTCTGACCTTACCTCTTATCACTTCCCCTTCACATACCTATTCCAGCCGCACTATCTTTCTTGCTGTTCCTGCAACATCCCAAATACTTTAGTCTTAGAGGTTGTTCTCTCTTCTGGGAAAATTTTTCCCCAGATATTCACATGATTTACTCTGTCCCTCTATTTTAATAGAACTTTGTCAGAAGCTTTACGTGACCGCCTTACAAATGATAACACATTCTATCTGCATCTTGCTCTATGCTTCTGTGTTTTATAGTTTTTCCAGAACTCTCACCATGATAACACACAAATATATTTGAAAGCTCACATGCATCAAGCATTATTGAGGTAATAGGGATGCAGCAGTAAACACAACATAAATAGGCAAAGATAACAAAGCAAATAAAAAACAGTGAGGCATGGAGAACAGAGAGAAAATCTTTACCCTCAAAGGCCTTACAATCTAAAGAAGGAAAATTGCAGCAGGTATAATTTCTTAAAACTCATCAATCTGACCATAATTATTTTATACTGAAAAGTATTATTTAATAACTTGTGATTTTAAAAGCAGTGTACCTTGGAAACAATCTCATGACTTTCATTCAAAAATGTCTATCTGAGGGAATGCTGAAGAATCAGAAGCATCTTGTTTTATTAAATTTTATACTGCTTTATAATTACAGCTACAGGTAAATTGTTATGATCAAATTTATTTTTCACATTTTATATAAATACATAATTACAAAATATGAAACAAAGCATATAATATAAACTATAAAATAAATAAATAGATTTTGAAATTAGAAATTATAAAATGTCATTTTGGATAAAGTTTACCTAGTACACTGAGAATGGTAACTTCATAAGGAGGATGAGACATATTTCTGCCAACAATATATTCTTATATTTAACTACTGTTTTTCTGATTTTAGGACTACTAAAGCATTATTTTAGGTACCATAATTTAAAATATCATTTTTAAATCAAGACATGCAGGTGGAAAAATTAACCCACAAAAATTAAAAATTAAAAAATTAAAGACAAATGTTAGTTGTGTGACCTAAACTTTCCAATCATCAGTAGCTTTCTTTGTAAAATAGGGATATTAATGCATTTTACACAGAGTGGTTGTAAAGACTACATGCAAAGTCTATCTGGAATATTTAGACTCTTGCTTGGATCTTACTGAAACATCTAGTAAATGGAAACTACCAACACGAAGATCATGAAGCAGAGGAAGAGACGTTAGTGAAAAGAACAACAATACCATCCTATTACCAATCTAGTTGTTGCTTACAGACTTATCTATAGGTATACCCAGATCTATTTGCATCTACAATAAAATACATATATACGTATTATTCACTGGGCAAGTTTTCACAATAACCATGTGAGGAAGGTTTTATAAGAGAAATAGAGACATAGAGGGAACAATTAACTTGGCAACTATGTGGCAAACATGGCTTCAAAATCAAGCTATTTTCCTCTAATGCCATGCTCTTTTGATGCATCATGCTATGTTGGAAATTCAATTAAAAGTCAAGGCCTTTCTTTGGAGGTGAAAAAATAAACAAAAAAATTAATTCTTAAGTACTGTGTGTTTAGGTTTTTAACTTCTTTTTTTTTTTTTTTTCTCCTGAGACAGAGTTTTGCTCTTGTTGCCCAGGCTGGAGTGCACTGGCACAATCTTGGCTCACTGCATTCTCTGCCTCCTGGGTTCAAACGATTCTCCTGCCTTAGCTTCCAGAGTTGCTGGGATTAAAAGCGTGCACCACCACACCCAGCTAATTTTTGTATTCTTAGTAGAGATGGGGTTTACCATATTAGCCAGGCAGATCTCGAACTCCTGACCTCGGATGATCCTCCCGTTTCGGCCTCCCAAAGTGCTGGGATTACAGGCATGAGCCACCATGCCTGGCCTAGGTTTTTAACTTCTAACTGGGATTATTTCAACATTTTTAGAATTAAAAGTAATTAAAATAAATAGTATTACATCTCTTAAAAGTGTTTATAATTTAAAAAATTATCATTCCAATTCTTTTCTAGGAAGTACATTCCTTCATAAATGCATTTACCAGTAAGTGACACTACTTTTTATATGGTTTATACAATGAGAAGAGTGTTAACCACAAAATAGTTTTTAATCAACATACTTATTTATTTTAAGGCTCTATCTGTTTTGCTGCTACCACTATTTTCTTTTATGCTGTTAACCTTGTCTTCTGTGTTTGTAGTTTTAAAAATATTTTAGGTGTGTTTCTGTTCTTATGTTTTTGCTAAATTCAATAAATAATCATTAGCCTGAGTCATATCTGATTGTGGAACAGAAAAACTCCATACAGAAAAATATATAAATTCACATTTTATTTACTATGTTTTGTTACTTTGCAATATTTAAGCTATTATTTCTGACAGGTCTTTTGAAGCATTACATCTGTGTGTACATTCCTGAAATTATTACTTTGATTTCTAAAAAAATGATTTATTAATATTAGACTGAATTTAATATGTACAAGTGGACTGAATGTTATACTTTTTCCAACTAAAAAACATGTGCAGAAACATAGAAAACAAATCAGGTTATTTCCAAGTAAATCGATCCTATAAATGAGATTTTCCATGTTTTAATGAGCCATTTTATACTGAGTGCATTAGTTTTTTTCTGCTGCACTGCGAGAGAGTATTCTGAAATACTTGATCAAACATATCTCAGTTTTATAGCTCTCTTTGTAGATTTGCCCCTTTGGGGGACATCGGATTTCTCTATCTCATTCCACTGTCATTCATTGAAAAATATTGCTGCACTCTGAAATGGTTCTGAAAGTGATCTTATATACACTTTAAATTGTCTCATAACACAATTATTTCTTTTCAAATACATTACACTAATGGGTATCCATTTTTTTTAAACCTACATTTATATTCTATCTGTTAAAATTAAGGTAAGTTACAGGAATACTACAGTTGGCATTTTTGCCTTATTCTTTTCTGAGTAACTCCTAAATTAATTTCTAAGGAGAAAAAAAGATTTAAAGTGATAGAACATTGATGCTGTTATGATAACAATAAAATAAATCCAAGGGGATTTAAGCCCTGATTCTTTTTTAAAGTCATGAAAATGTTCCATTGGGTTAATTATGATAATATACCACAAATAATTGTAGAATCAGAGGGTAAGAATTTTTCTCTTCACTCTGGAAGCCACGTGAACTATTATCTGTCGGAAAATCTAATTATAAGTCTGATAATAATTGGACTAGATGGCCAGATGACAGTCTCACAAACTTAAACTTGCCTCTAAGTCTCATGATGTCTAATTTTAGTCTGTTCTCTGCCCTTACCTCTATAACATTAACCAAGCAGGTATAAGCATGCTAACATTTAAAATTACAAGTTTACAACCAAATGCATTTTGTAAGCATACTTAATGACTGCTTTTAAGAATTCATGGTGAAGGCAGCCTGGCGAATGTATAATACAAGGAAATGAAAGTTAATAGCCTTGAGTCACAGTTAATCATTGTTCTGTCACCTGTTAGTTGCAATTCACTTTTCTTCTATGGAACACAATTTTCTCACTTAAAAAAGTTAGATAGTCTCATCATTTCAGCACTTTAAAATTCTAATAATAGAATGCATATACCTCACACCTTGTCATTGTGATAGTACACTGTTCATGTTAAGAGTATCTTTAACTGATATTATTTTGATATATTGAAGAGACCTCTAAGAATTGTATTGTGGTAAAGTTCTATAATATTTATTAGTTGAAAAATATAACAAAAAGTAAATTCAATTATAATTTGGAAATTAATTTCTTGGTGAAGGGATTTGCACAAATACTATATAATAAGTATAAATATATGCTAAATTCCTATACAGACATTTAGAATGAAGTAGCACGATTTCTCCATCCATAATTTCTTTGACCTTTCCCCAGTTTTTCTGTTGTCATTTAAAAACATGGAATGATTCCAATTAAAAAAAAAGAGAGAGAGAGCGCACCAAGAAAATATACCCATTTGGGAAATAAGTGATGTTAAAATACTGTTATTTCAATCCATTTTTTACTGTGTCATATAAAAATATACAAATTAAATGCTAAATATTAAATTAAAATTACATTAAAAACATTAGAGAACAAATTATTGAGTGTATTTCAGGTACTTTAATGACGTTATGGCCATCTGTATGGCCACCCTTCCTTCAGTGTGGGTGTGTGTATCTCAAATCAGAAACAAAATTGATTCCTTTAGGAATCTGTCAAATCTGCAATTTCTGATTATTACAATTAAAATTTAGTAAAAAGATGAATATCTATTTTCAAATTGTCCCAATCATTTTAAAATACCTTGTGTATTAACAGCATTTGGCTTAGCATGTAATTGTCTTACCCACTCCCCATTACAAAAATCAAGAACTGTTCTCATTTACTTTTTTCCAGATCAGTTAACTTCAGTGGTGAAAAATGTATTAATACATTTTTGTTCAAGTTTAATAAATTGCTCATTCTGTGATAAATTTCCTTAAAGTGTAAGGGAATAAATAATAAATAAAATATTATGATATGAGAATAGCAGCATGTGTGCTGTGATGTTACTTCCAAATTACTTTGTTAAGTAGCTTGTGATTTTATGATATCAAAACAGGACAAAATAAAAGTGACATGTCAGAACATTTATTCCTGGCAAAAAAGCATTAGAAAATATTAACCATTTCAGAGAGGTTCTGAATAAATAAATGATAAATAAATAAGAGGCTATGAATGAATGAATGAATGAAAAAGTATAGAAGCAAGTAAATTGCCTCAATATTAAAGTTTACCTTTATTTGAAAGCTTAGTTGATTAATTAAGTAGTTTTGAGTCAGGAAATTAAACAATTGTACTTTTTTTGGTGTGGAAGCTAAGTTTAATCTTAGATGAGAATAGAGCATGAGGAAGAACTGACTTTTTTAAATAGAGAAGTGGAATACAATTTTCTGTCAATGACAAGTTTTAATGGCAATGAGAGAGTTATATTTATATTCCCATTTTACAGATAAGAAAAAAATATCAGGGAATTTTAAGTAGCTTACCTAAGTTTACATATACAAAGGATCTGTAAAAAGATTGACACTGGGAACATTACATTGGCTGTCACACATGATCTGGAAGGCTGTGTAACTGCACTGTGAATGGTTCTCTCTGAGATTTTACACTGAAGAAGCTCTGAATGAATACAGCACCAAGGGAGGATATTGTAAAGAAAAGATCATCTGCAAGAGTAGAAAGAAGCTGGAGGGGTTTTGAAATAATGATAACTTCCATTTTATACTATCTTACTAATTACATTTGGCATATTTTCCTTCTTTAGTGCTCTGGTCTTTCTCATAACCCAAGTTTAATTTCACCAATTTTCTGTACCACTGGGATAGTATTGACAACATTTCATTAAGTTCTGGTTGACTTAATTTTTTTCGCTATCAAGTTATTTCTTGGATGGGTGATTGGTAGACGTATTATGTTGTACTGATATTTTCACATATATTATAATATAAAAGACATAATGCACATATAGACCTGTGTGTTATTTAGGTAAAATTTTAAGTTCATTTCTACAGGTAGCATTAGAGGAAGAACAAAACGAAGTAAAATATGTATAGGTAGCAATTCCAGTTAGCAAAGGCCTAAATTATATTATGACTTCTATTCTGTAAGAAATCTTAAAACACTGAAACCAAAGACATCAAATTTGCATGTCCTTTAGTGCTAGCTCAAAATAACCTTTAATTTTATTAAGAAATCAAATTTAAAAATCTTGTATCTCTTTGATAATTTATAAAGTAACTGAAAAATGAGTTTTATATAACTGAATGAGATCTATAAATGTTAAGATGCCCTTAAAATACCAACGGAGAGGAAAGTGTTGGACTTTCACCTTCATCCATGATAAGGTGAGATTAGCCTTCTCATCATAAACAATTATAATACTGGACAGAACAAACAAGGCAATGAATTTCAGAAACTGGATAATGGGCAATGCAAACCTATGACAGTTAAGAAAAGGGGAATGCCAATTGATAATGGAATAACTGGAAAAATAATCCTTGAAAACTATAACCTATCACTACTGAATCAAGAAGGAATAGATGTCTAGATAGCTCTATGTCCTATGAAGTATTATATTTATAATAAGATATTTTCCCATAAGGAAAACTCCAGATCTAAGTGGTTTCATTGACGAAATATGTTAAATATTTAAAGACTTAAATAATCCCAATGGTTTGCAAACTAAAAAATCTTGAAGCAGAAGGAAGATTACTACATATTTTTTTTCTCAGAGAGGAGATCTGTTCTGTCACCCAGACTAGAGTGCAGTGCCCTGATCATAGTCCACTACAGCCATGAATTCCTGGGCTCAAGTGATCCTCCTGCCTCGGCCTCCCATGTAGCTGAGGCTACAGGTGTGTGGCACCATACCCACCATACCCAACCAACTTTTTTTTTTTTTTTTTTAATGTAGAGATGGACTCTCTCACTTTGTTGCTCAGGCTAGTCTATAACTTTGGGCTTCAAGCAGTCCTCCTGCCTTGGCTTCCCAAAGTGGTGGGATTACAGGCATGAACCACCATGTTCAGCCTAAGATTATTCTTACATGAAAGCTTTACAAAGAAATTAAAATAAACAAAATTGTATACTTATATTTTTCATGAATAAGAGGAAAACATCAATAAATTATATTATTATTAGAAAACAATATAAAAATATATTAAAATGACACTATATTATGATAAAGTTGTTTTTATTCTAGGAATGCAAGATTGTTTTAATATAATTCACCACACTAACAAAATTAATGAGAAGACAAAGCAACAAAAATATGATGGTCCTTTCAATAGAAGCAGAAAGAGCATTTGTCACAATTTAATATCTATTTATAATAAAGACTCTCAAGAAATAGGAATAGAAGAGAATTTCCTAAATTTGACGAAGGGCAAAACTATAGTTAATATAGACAATACCAAAATTGTGAACTCATCCCTCTAAGATTTGAAACTATATGCTCCACATCTATTATTTAATATTGTGCTAACAATCCTAGAGAATGCAATAACAAAATCATCAAGAAAACGATAGATATAAATATTGAAAAGGAAGAAGCCAACTGTCCCCCATCATTCACAGAAAATAGCTTATTTAACCCCCAAATTAAAAAATTGATAAATCTACCAAACTTTATAAGTGAAATTAGCAAGCTTGCATGACGTAGAAAATCAAGTGTATATTTAGATACTAGCAAAATCTAAATTTTAAAATACATAAAACTGTTAGGGATAAATTTAGTTAAATATATCCAAGGACTGTACATGTAAAACTTTTAAATATTTATATAAATTAAAAAATAACAAAATAAAAGGAAAGGTATACCATATTCATGGATTTAAAAGCAGTAATGTTAATATGAACATTCTCTTTACATTAATCAATCATTTCAACACCTAATCAGCTTTTGTGAAAACTGAGAAGCTGATTCTAATCTTTATTTGGAAATGCAAAACTAAAATAGACATAACTGTTTTTTTTTCAAATCAAAAGTTTTGTTTGTGAAAACATAGTGTACTCCTTTAAACTCTCCAATTAAAAAAATACTGTGTAGACATACTATATAAGACACTCCAGTACTGGCATAAGAATAGACATGAGACCATTTAGTGGGACAGAATAAAATGTACTCATTCATATCCACACGTATATGGTCAGTTGATTTTCAAGAAAGTAGCCTAAGTAATTTAGTAAGTAAAGAAGTGTCTTTTCTAAAGAATAGTGATGTAGTATCTGAATATTTATATGGGAAATAATGAACCTCAATGCCTACATTAAAAGTTCACAGATATGAATGTAAATAATATTATGAATCAAAAGTAAAAAGCTAAAACCATAAAGCAAGAAGAAAACAGAAAAAAAAACCAGTCTTCACAAATGTTGGTGTAGGGAAATATTTATTTG
Source organism: Homo sapiens (assembly GCF_000001405.40). Classification (NCBI taxonomy): domain Eukaryota; kingdom Metazoa; phylum Chordata; class Mammalia; order Primates; family Hominidae; genus Homo; species Homo sapiens. The sequence continues at coordinate 165,825,444 of NC_000003.12, forward strand.
ATAAGATGGAAATAAATTAATAAGCTGAGATTCATTGAAATTCAACATTTTAAAAATCAAAGTAAGATATAAACTGGGAGAAAATATTGAAAATACATAGGATATGTATCTTTTTATATTTATTGTACTTTAAGTTTTAGGGTACATGTGCACAACGTACAGCTTAGTTACACATGTATACATGTGCCGTGTTGGTGTGCTGCACCCATTAACTCGTCATTTAACATCAGGTATATCTCCTAATGCTATCCCTCCCCGCTCACCCCACCCCACAACAGGCCCCGGTGTGTGATGTTCCCCTTCCTGTGTCCATGTGTTCTCATTGTTCAATTTCCACCTATGAATATAAGAATTCTTACAAGTCAATGAGAGATAAACCCAATAAAAATTGGCAAAAGACTTAAACATTTCAAAATAGAAAAAATACCAATGACCAGTAAGCATAAGAAAAGATGTTTCACATCTATATCCATCAGATAGAAACAAAGCAAAAGCACAATGAGATGTCATTACAAAGCCAGAAGAACAGCTAAAATTGAAGATTGATTAGTTGCAAGTGATGCTGAAGATGTGAAACAAGTGGGGCTCTGGTACATCACTGCTTTTGGGAGTATAAAATTCTCAACTAAGGAAAATAGTTGAACAGTTTCTTTAAAAAAAATAAGCATGTGCTTATATGTGTTCCTGCAATTCCTCTCACTTTTTACTCAAAATAAGAGAAAAAAAACATCTTCTACAACAAGACAAAAGTCTTCCAGAAAAATATTCGTAGAATGCTAGTCATAATATCCCCAAAAGGAAACAACGTATGAGTGAATGGATAAACAAGTAGTGGTACAATCATCCATAGGAAATAGCACTTAGCAGTGAATAACAAATAAACTACTTTACACATACAACACAGATGAATTGCAATTCTATTATGCTGAGCAAAAGAAGCGAGACACAAGATTATATAGGCTATGATACCATGAATATAAAGCTCTAGAAAAGGTAAAACTAATCTATAATAAAAATAGAATCAGTGATTGACTGGACATGGGGAGTAAGATGGCTGTTTGCAAAGAGGTGGGGGGGGACTTTATTCTGAGGCAATGGAATTATGCTTTATCTTTATGGAGTTGTACATATTGGTAAAAATTTACTGATCTTTATGTTTATTGTGTATATTTTTACAGTATGTACATTATATTTCAATGAAGATTATAAATAGTAGACATAGATTTACTAATTAAGAAGAATTTATTAAAACATTTCATGAATCATGAACTTGAAAACTCATTTTCCTAAATGATAATTACAGCTCCAATTCTACTTTTACTTCCTTAATAAGACATTTTGAA